>NC_000006.12:160070790-160222305 GCF_000001405.40 Homo sapiens | reverse complement strand
ACAACAGTACCTACTCACTGGATTAAAGAAGAAAATATGCCTGACACTAATTAAGTGTCGATTGGTTCCTGATTAAATTGTTATGGTTCCTAAGGGCACTAAACCTGTCCTAGTTACAAATATAACCTGTGAACTTATACCTAATACCTTATCTCACTTCTTAAGCCTGTTTTCCTTTCTGTAAAATGAGGATAACAATAGCTAACATTTACTAAGAGCTCTACCCAGTGCTTTCCATGCCCTTCCCATGCACCTTCTTTTATTGCACTTCATTTTATTGTGCTTTGCAGATATTGTGTTTTTTAACAGATTGAAGGTATACAGCAACCCTACATTAAGCAAGTTTATTTGCAGCATTTTTCCAACAGCAGGTGCTCACTTCATGTCACTGTGGCATGTTTTGGTAATTCTCACAATATTTTAAACTTTTCCATTATTATCATATCTGTGATGGTGATCTGCAATCAGTGATCTTTGATACTGCTATTGTAATTGTTTTAGGGCACCACAAACCATGGCTGTGTAAAACAGCAAACTTAATTGATAAATGCGTGTGATCTAACTGTTCCACACACTGAGCATTCCCCCATCTCTCTCCCTCTCCTTGGGCCTTCCTATGGCCCAAGACACAACCATATTGAAATTAGGTCAATTAATAGCTCTACAATGCCCTCTAGGTGTTAAATGAAAGGAAGCGTTGCAAGTCTCAACTGTAAAGCAAAAGGCAGAAATGATTAAGCTCAATGAGGAAGTCATGTTGAAAGCCAGCATAAGCTGAAAGTGAGGACTCTTGTACCAGGTAGCCAAGTCGAGAATGCACAGGAAAAGTTCTTGAAGGAAGTATAAAAATGCTACAAATGAGAAATGAAACAGCCTTATTGCTGATATGGAGAAAGCTTGAGTGGTCTGGATAGAAGATCAAACCGGTCACAACATTCCCTTAAGCCAAAGCCTAACCCAGAACAAAGCCCTAACTCTTTTCCATTATATGAAGGCTGAGACAGGTGAAGAAGTAGCAGAAGAAAAATTCGAAGTTAGTAAGTTTGGTTCATAAGGCTTAAGGAAAGAAGCCATCTCCATAACTTGAAAGTGCAAAATGAAGCAGCAAGTGCTGATGTAGAAGCTGCAGCAAGTTATCCAGATCTAACAAAGATCACTGATAAAGGTGATCACACTAAACAACAGATTTTCAATATAGACACAACAGCCTTCTATTGGAAGAAGATGCCATTTAGGACTTTCATGAAGAGCGAGGAAAAAATCAATGTCTGGTTTCAAAGCTCGAAGGACAGGTTGACTCTCTTGTGAAGGGTGAATGCAGCTGGTGACTAGAAGGTGAAGCCAGTGTTCATTTACCATGAAAACCCTAGGGTCCCTAAGAATTATGCTAAATCTACTCTGCTTGTGCTCATGGAATAGCAAAGCCTGTGTACAGATAACAGTACATCTGTTTACAGCATGGTTTATTGACTATTTTAAGCCCGCCGTTTAGACCTACTGCTTAGAAAAGAAGATTGCTTTCAAAAGATTACTGCTCATTGACAATACATACACCTGGTCACCCAAGAGCTCTGATGGAGATGTACCTAAAGATTAATGTTGTTTTAATGCCTGCTAACACAACATCCATTCTGCAGCCCATGGATCAAGGAGTAGTTTTGACATTCAAGTATTATTATTTAAGAAATATACTTTATAAGGCTATAGCTACCGTAGATGGTAATTCCTCTGATTGTTCTAGGCAAAGTACATTGAAAAACCTTCTGGAAATCTTTCACCATTGTAGATGCCACTAAGAACATTTGTGGATCATTAGAGGAGGTCAAAATATGAACGTTAATGGGAGTTTTGAAGAAGTTGATTACAGCCCTCATGGATAACTTTGAAGAGCTCAAGACTTCAGCATAAAAAGTGTCTGCAGATACAATAGAAATAGCAAAAGAACTAGAATTAGAAGTAGAGCCCGAAGATGTGACTGAATTGCTTCAACCTCGTGATAAAACTTGAACAGATGAGGAGTTGCTTCTTACAGATGAGCTTAGAAAGTGGTTTCTTGAGATGGAATCTACTCCTGGTGGAGATCCTGTGAACATTGTTGAAATGACAACAAAGGATTTAGAATATTACATAAACTTAGTTAACAAAACAGCATCAGGGTTTGAGAGGATTGACTCCAATTTTTAAAGAAGCTCTACTGTGGGTAAAATGCTATGAAATAGCATTGCATGCTATAGAGAAATCTTTCATGAAGAGAAGAGTCAATCAACATTGAAAACTTCATATTCTTGTTTTAAGAAGTTTCAACAGCCACTTCAACCTTCAGCAACCACTGTCTTGCTCAGTCAGCAGCCATCAACATAGAGGCAAGAGCCTCCACCAGCAAGATTACCACAAATTGAAGGTTCAGATGATTGTTAGCATTTTTAAAAAATAAAGTATTTTTAAATTACATTGTTCTCTCAGACATAATATTGCACATTTAATAGACTACAGTATAGTGTAACCGTAACTTTTATATGAACTGGGAAACCAACAAAAATGTATGATTCACTTTATGGTAAAACTTACTTTATTGTGGTAGTCTGGAAGTGAATCCCCAATATCTCTGAGGTATGCCTGTATTACCTCATTGAATCCTTGCAGCAACCCTATGAAATAGGCGTTATTATTATTAACCCCACTGACAACTGGAAAAAAAAAAAAAACAGGCCAGAGAAAGTAAAGGACTTGCTCAAAACCACACAGCCAATCAGTGACAAAGCCAAAGTTTCAATCCTGGCAGCTAGATTTTGTGGCCCATGAATTTGTCTCACCATCAGAGGGTTGGGCTCATGAATGGGACAGTGCGACGAAGCACCCGTCGCAGTGCTTGGTATTTAGTTAGTAGTCACTCACCGGTGGCTGATGTTGTTGCTGCTGCTGCTGTTGTTGCTGCTGCTATTGTCATTTTTCTTGTTGCTGTTGTTGCTGCTATTGCTGTTGTTATTGTTACTGCTGCTATTGTTTTTGCTGTTGCTATTACTGTTGTTATTGCTATTGTACTTATTTCTACTGTTGTTACTGTTGTTGCTGCTGCTGTTATAATTATTGCTGCTGTTCCTACTGCTGCTACTGTTGTTGCTGCTGTTGTTGCTGATGTTGCTGCTGCTGTTGTTACTGCTGGTGTTCGTACTGCTGTTGTTGCTGCTGCTGTTATTGCTTCTGTTGCTGTTATTGTTGCTGATGCTGCTACTGTTGCTATTGCTGTTGCTGCTACTATTACTGTTGCTATTGCTGCTGCTACTGCTGCTGGTGTTGCTGCTACTGTTGTTGCTACTATGGTAATGATTGCTGCTGCTGCTGCTGCTGCTGTTGCTGCTATTACTACTGCTACTTCTGTTGCTGCTGCTGCTGTTATTGCTGCGACTTCTGTTGTTGCTACTGCTGATTTTGCTATTTCTGTGGCTATTGTTGCTGCTGTTGTTGCTCTTAATTGTGATGGTGTTGATTCTGTTGCTATTGTTGCTGCTATTGCTAAAATTGTTGCTGCTGTTGTTGCTATTGTTGGTTTTGTTGTTACTGTTTCTGTTGCTTTTGTTATTGTTGCTGCTGCTGTTGCTGTTGCTGCTGCTGCTGATGCTGTTACTGTTACTATTGCTATTACTGATACTATTGTTGCTGCTGCTGTTGCTCGTGTTGCTACTGTTGCTATTGCTGTTACTACTGAGGATCCTATTGTTGCTATTGCTGTTGCTGCTGATGGTATTACTGTTGCCATATCTGTTGCTGCTACTGTTACTGTTGCTGTTGCTATTACTATTGTTGCTGCTGTTGCTTTTGTTGTTGTTACTGCTGCTGTTGTCACTGATGCTTCTACTGTTGCTATTGCAGTTGCTGCTGTAATTACTGTTGTTGCTGCTGTTGCTACTATTGCTGCTACTGTTGCTGCTGTTCTTGCTTTTGTTGTTCCTGCTGCTGCTTCTATTGCTGCTATTTCTACTGTTGTTGTTTCTGCTGCTGTAGTTGTTGTTATTGTTGTTGGCAGAGAGACCAGAGGAGCTCAACTGACTTGATTTTACCTCCCCATCTGGAGCTTTAGAGAATTCCAAAACCATAGGGTGATTTGGGTAAGCTTCTGCCATCCCTCGTCTCAGATTGGATTGGTCCAGAAAACGAGACAATACTAACCAACTCCAGGTGGGGGAAATTCTGTGAGATGCTGGGTGGCTGGGAGCAGCCCACAGCTGATTCAATATTGCTATAAACAGGAACAGGTCCAAAGGGCATGGCTGGGAACAACAAAATGAAGAAAGCAGCATTTCTACGATGAATATCAGCAATGTCCTGGCATTCACGAAGACAAGATGATTGAGAAAACTTGCAATTTGAACAAATGTTTTAATTGCAGTCTTCATTTATCAAGCTGTTGAAAAGTAAATACACTTTGAAAAAATAATTTTTCAAATTCTATTTGCATAACTAATGATAACAAGATTTTGCAATCTTCATCTTTAACTGATATAAGATTAAGTTTAGACTTTACCCACATTCTCTATTACAGAGAAAGGTGAACACCCTAAAAAAGGAACTTATTTAGGCCAGTACCAATTCAACAAGATAATTTTAGGAATAACTCTGTCGACATGAGTTATCAACAAGTTCTGTCCATTTTCTTTGTGAGAACCACCACTCAGAACACATTGCAAGACTAATCCTGAACAAAGTTTATAATCATTTGTTGTTCCTCTCATTTATTACCCACTTTATTTTGGTTTTCAGCCTCCTCATAATTTCTTTCTCCCCTCTCCATTTTTATTTCTTATTGCAGACCAAGAAAAAATAAAGAAAAGATGATTTACCTCCAAGTTCAGAAACTAGACATTCCATTGAACTAAGAAGAGAGACCGTTGCTGCTGTCATGACCTAGCTTTGATGGCAGCAAGACCAAAAGTAGAAATCCCTGCACTCATCACAAAGCCCATACAACTCAACCAAACTTACCCCTGAGCCCTATCAACCTAGGTCTACAGCCAGTGGAGTCTATTGTACACTGTGGAAAAATACCCATGGGACCAGATCCTGCCAAATTCTTCCAGCTCACTTTATTCTCAGCATTCCTAGGACATTGGACATTGGTTTTCTGGAGGGTTTTTTTTCCATCTTTGTATTTTTTTAAATTTGATTCTTTTCTTTGCAATGCTATCTAACCAGAATACATAGGGGAACTGTGGGCTAGGCAAACAAAATAGAAAAAAGTGTGAAAAACAGTAAAGTTGGGAGAGGAGCATCTATTTTCTTAAAGAAATAAAACACCCAAAACAATATAAAGTTGTCCAGAATGTATGTCAAGAATTTTAGATAGGCCTTTCAGTAACACAGGTGAAGAAATTTTTAAAAATACATTGATTATTATCTAGGTTAGACTTAAAGTGAATCTCAAATAAAAGAATCAGGAATACAACTTAAGTGATCATGAGGTCCTTCCATATTTAGATTGGGTAAGCATGAATGTGTATTTTCTACAAAAGACCTTGAGAAGAGTTCAATAAAAAATGTTAGCATTATAAAACCATTGATGATCATTTTTTAGTCTGGTAAAAATGTCTTAACATTTGTGGATTTTAAAATACATGTTAATATTTTATAAAAGTAATATTATGAATACATTTTTAAAAGCTAAATATCATAAGACTTATAATGAAAACAAAATTTCCTTGCCCTATTTCACCTCTACTAATTTCTCAGAGAAAATTTTCAACTATTTTAGGTGAATTTTCCCCCTGAGATTCATCTCCATATATATAAATAACTTCTTTATATTGACATTTCTTGATTTTTCAGCTTAAATATTATCTATTTACTTTTTAATATAACAGATAAAAATGTAACTCTCTTCATCTCTCCCTTCATCCCAACACACAGCTTTTCTGTTCCCTTTAAACTTTGTCACATTTTTATTAAATCAAATACTGAACTTTCATGTCATTATGGCTATTAACACTGAGTCATTTTGTGTACTATGATTATGCTTCCTTTCTTTTACAGTATCTTGCTTTTCCTGAACACTGGTTTTTATTGTTTTGTTTTCTACATATTCATCATTAATTTTCCTCCAAACTATCTGACAGAATAATAGCTCTCCCCTCAATGTATTCAAATACGTCACGCATTGGTTTCTCTTCTTTTCTTTTGTTCTGAGAGACCTCCCACATGGAGCCCCCAGCCCTCCTGCTCCACTTTCGCCTGGTGGATCTCTAGGTCTGCAGCAGAGCTGTTGCCCTGGGCTCTCTTTCCCCACCTTCCTGAGTGTTCCTTTTGTCTCCTGTCTCCTAGATGCCATCTCCTTCTTGATTTTTGTCACATTTTAAAGAAGCATAATTTCCAATAGCTTCCTGAGAAAGCAGGTATGCCTGTCCTCCTGCACTCTCTTCTGTGGCATCAACTGTTGAAACCTGAAAATGACATTTCTCAGACCCGTCACCACCTGGCTTCCTATACAGTGGGTCACACTGGCCAGAGATGGGAAGGAAGGAGCAAGAGAGAAGAGAAACATTGATATTATAGGCTGTAGAATTGCACCATAGGCTGAATTCATACCCTCATCAGGTCTCTTAAACAAAAGTTACAAAATGGGTAGGAAGGAGGGAATCTCAGAACTGGAATGGAGACACTGACTGAACCCAAATGAATCTGAAGATCTTGAACCCCCATGATATAGTTAGGCTCTGTGTCCCCACTCAAATCTCACCTTGAATTGTAATAATCCCCACGTGTCATGGGAGGTACCAAATGCAACGTAATTGAATCATGGGGGCAGGTTTTTCCTGTGCTGTTCTTGTGGTAGTGAATAAGTCTCATGATATCTGATGGTTTCATAATAGGGAATTCCCCTTTACATGCCAGGACTCCTCTTGCTTTCTGTCATGTAATACGTGCTTTTGCTCCTCCTTTGCTTTCCACCACAATTGTGAGGCCTCCCCAGCCATGTGGAACTGTAAGCCAAAACTTTTTCCTTTGTAAATTACCCAGTGTGGTATGTCTTTATTAGTATCATGAGAACAGAATAATACAATAAATTGGTACCAGTGTCAAAGAAAAGTGTTGAACTCTATAAAATATTTAAAGAGATTTATTCTGAGCCAAATATGAGTGACCATGGCTCGTGACACAGCTCTCAGGAGGTCCTGAGAACATGTGCCCAAGGTGGTCGGGGCACAGCTTGGTTTTATACATTTTAGAGAGGCATGAGGCATCAATCAAATGCATTTAAGAAATACATTGGTTTGGTCCAGAAAGGCAGGACAACTCAAAGTGAGGAGGGCATGGCGGGGGCTTCCAGGCTATAGGTGAAGTTAAACATTTTCTGGTTGACAATTGGTTGGGTTTGTCTAAAGATCTGGAATTGATAGAAAGGGAATGTTCAGGTTAAGATAAAGATTGTGGAGGTCTGTTCTAAGACGATCAAATAGAAACGGCTCTAGTCTGCAGCTCCCAGCGTGATCAATGCAGAAGATGGGTGATTTCTGCATTTCCAACTGAGGTACCTGGTTCACCTCATTGGGACTGGTGGGACAGTGGGTGCAGCCCATGGAGGGCTGAAGCAGGGTGGGGTGTCACCTCACCTGGGAAGCGCAAGAGGTCAGGGGATTTCCCTTTCCTAGCCAAGGGAAGCCATGACAGACTGTACCTGGAAAAACGGGACACTCCCGCTTAAATACTGCACTTTTCCAACAGTCTTAGCAAACAGCACAACAGGAGATTATATCCCATGCCTGGCTCGGTGGGTCCCATGCCCTCAGAGCCTTGCTCACTGCTAGTGCAACAGTCTGAGATCAACCTACAAGGCAGCAGCCTGGCAGTGGCAGGAGCATCTGCCATTGCTGAAGCTTGAGTAGGTAAACAAAGCTGCCAGAAAGCTCAAATGGGGCAGAGCCTACTGCAGTGCTGCGAGGCTTGCTGCCTCTATAGACTCCACCTCTGGGGGCAGGGCATAGCTGAATAAAAGGCAGCAAAAACTTCTGCAGACTTAGATGTCCCTGTCTGACAGCTCTGAATAGAGCAGTGGTTCTCCCAGCACAGTTTTTGAGCTCTGAGAATGGACAGACTGCCTTCTCAAGTGGGTCCATGACCCCCATGTAGCCTAACTGGGAGACACCTCCCCGTAGAAGCTGACTGACACCTCATATAGGCGGGTGCCCCTCTGGGACAAAGCTTCCAGAGGAAGGATCAGGCAGCAATATTTGCTGTTCTTCAATATTTGCTGTTCTACAGCCTCTACTGGTGATACCCAGGCAAACAGGGTCTGGAGTGGACCTCCAGCAAACTCCAACAGACCTGCAGCTGAGGGACATGACTGTTAGAAGAAAAACTAACAAACATAAAGCAATAGCATCAACATCAACAAAAAGGACATCCACACCGAAACCCCATCTGTAGGTCACCAACATCAAAGACCAAAGGTAGATAAAACCACAAAGATGGGGAGAAACCAGAGCAGAAAAGCCAAAAATTTTAAAAGCCAGAGCAACTCTTCTCCTCCAAAGGATCGCAGCTCCTCACCAGCAGCGGAACAAAGGAGGACGGAGAATGACTTTAACGAGTTGACAGAAGTAGGCTTCAGAAGGTCGGTAATAACAAACTTCTCTGAGCTAAAGGAAGGTGTTTGAACCCAACGCAAGGAAGCTAAAAATCTTGAAAAAAGACGAATGACTAACTAGAATAAACAGTGTAGAGAAGACCTTAAATGACCTAATGGAGATGAAAACCATAGCATGAGAACTACATGACGCATGCAAAAGCTTCAGTAGCTGATTTGATCAAGTGGAAGAAAGGGTCAGTGATTGAAGATCAAATGAATGAAATAAAGCAAGAAGAGAAGTTTAGAGAAAAAACAGTAAAAAGAAATGAACAAAGCCACCAACAAATATGGGACTATGTGAAAAGACCAAATCTATGATGGATTGGTGTACCTGAAAGTGACAGGGAGAATAAAACCAAGTTGGAAAACACTTTTCAGGATATTATCCAGGAGAACTTCCCAAACCTAGCAAGACAGGCCAACATTCAAATTCAGGAAATACAGAGAACACCACAAAGATACTCCTCGAGAAGAGCAACCCCAAGACAGATAATTGTCAGATTCACCAAGGTTGAAATGAAGGAAAAAATGTTAAGGGCAGCCAGTGAGAAAGGTCAGGTTACCCACAAAGGGAAGCCCATCAGACTAACAGTGAATCTCTCAGCCCAAACTCTACAAGCCAGAAGAGAGTGGGGGCCAATATTAAACATTCTTAAAGAAAAGAATTTTCAACGCAGAATTTCATGTGCAGACAAACTAAGCTTCATAAGTGAAAGAGAAATAAAATCCTTTACAGACAAGCAAATGCTGAGAGATTTTGTCACCACCAGGCCTGCCTTACAAGAGCTCCTGAAGGAAGCACTAAACATAGAAAGAAAAAACCAGCACCAGCCACTGCAAAAACATGCCAAATTGTAAAGACCATCAATCCTAGGAAGAAACTGCATCAATTAACAGGCAAAATAATCAGCAAACATCATAATGACAGGATCAAATTCACACATAACAATATTAACCTTAAATGTAAATGGGCTAAATGTGCCAATTAAAAGACACAGACTGGCAAATTGGATAAAGAGTCAAGACCCATCAGTGTGCTGTATTCAGGAGACCCATCTCATGTGCAAAGACGCACGTAGGCTTGAAATAAAGGGATGGAGGAAGATCTACCAAGCAAATGGAAAACAAAACAAAAAAAAAACGAGTTGCAATCCTAGTCTCTGATAAAACAGGCTTTAAACCAACAAAGATCAAAAGAGACAAAGAAGGCCATTACATAATGGTAAAGGGATCCATTCAAAAAGAAGAGCTAACTATCCTAAATATATATGCACCCAATACAGGAGCAACCAGATTCATAAAGCAAGTCCTTGGAGAACTACTTAGAGACTTAGACTCCCACACAATAATAATGGGAGACTTTAACACCCCACTGTCAATATTAGACAGATAAACGAGACAGAAGGTTAACAAGGATATCCAGGACTTGAACTCAGCTCTGCACCAAGCAGACCTAATAGACATCTACAGAACTCTCCACCCCAAATCAACAGAATACACATTCTTCTCAGCCCCACATTGCACTTATTCCAAAATTGACCACATAGCTGGAAGTAAAGCACTCCTCAGCAAATGTAAAAGAATAGAAATCACAACAAACTGTCTCTCAGACCACAATGCAATCAAATTAAAACTCAGGATTAAGAAACTCACTCAAAACCACACAACTACATGGAAACTGAACAACCTGCTTCTGAATGACTACTGGGTAAACAATGAAATGAAGGCAGAAACAAAGATGTTCTTTGAAACCAATGAGAACAAAGACACAACATACCAGAATCTCTGGGACACATTTAAAGCAGTGTGTAGAGGGAAATTTATAGCACTAAATGCCACAAAAGAAAGCAGGAAAGATCTAAAATTGAGACCCTAACGTCACAATTAAAAGAACTAGAGAAGCAAGAGCAAACAAATTCAAAAGCTAGCAGAAGGCAAGAAATAACTAAAATCAGAGCAGAACTGAAGGAGATAGAGACACAAAAAAAACCCTTCAAAAAATCAATGAATCCAGGAGCTGGTTTTTTGAAAAGATCAACAAAATTGATAGACTGCTATCAAGACTAATGAAGAAGAAAAGAGAGAAGAATCAAATAGATGCAATAAAAAATGATAAAGGGGATATCACCACTGATCCCACAGAAATACAAACTACCATCAGAGAATAGTATAAACTCCTCTGTGCAAATAAACTAGAAAATCTAGAAGAAGTTGATGAATTCCTGGACACATACACCCTCACAAGACTAAACCAGAAAGAAGTGGAATCTCTGAATAGAACAATAACAGGCTCTGAAATTGAGGCAATAATTAATAGCCTACCAACCAAAAAAAGTCCAGGACCAGACAGATTCACAGCCGAATTCTACCAGAGGTACAAAGAGGAGTGCTAGTACCATTCCTTCTGAAACTATTCCAATCAATAGAAAAAGAGGGAATCCTCCCTAACTCATTTTATGAGTACCGCATCGTCCTGATACCAAAGCCTGGCAGAGACACAACAAAAAAAAGAATTTTAGACCAATATCCCTGATGAACATCAATGCAAAAATCCTCAATAAAATACTGGAAAACCGAATCCAGCAGCACATCAAAAAGCTTACCCAGCACGATCAAGTTGGCTTCATCCCTGGGATGCAAGGCTGGTTCAACATACCCAAATCAATAAATGTAATCCATTACATAAGCAGAACCAAAGACAAAAACCACATGATTATCTCAATAGATGCAGAAAAGGCTTTTGGCAAAATTCAACAGCGCTTCATGCTAAAAACTCTCAATAAACTAGGTGTTGATGGGACGTATCTCAAAATAGTAAGAGCTATTTATCACAAACCCACAGCCAATATCATATTGAATGGGCAAAAACTGGAAGCATTCCCTTTGAAAACTGGCACAAGACAGGGATGCCCTCTCTCACCACTCCTATTCAGTATAATGTTGAAAGTTCTGGCCAGGGCAATCAGGCAAGAGAAAGAAATAAAGGCTATTCAATTAGGAAAAGACGAAGTCAAATTTTCCCTGTTTGCAGGTGACGTGATTGTATATTTAGAAAACCCCATCATCTCAGCCCAAAATCTCCTTAAGCTGATAAGCAACTTCAGCAAAGTCTCAGGATACAAAGTCAACATGCAAAAATCACAAGCATTCCTATACACCATTAACAGACAAACAGAGAGCCAAATCATGAGTGAAATCCCATTCACAATTGCTACAAACAGAATAAAATACTTAGAAATACAACTTACAAGGGATGCGAAGGACCTCTTCAAGGAGAGATACAAACCACGGCTCAAGGAAATAAAAGAGGACACAAACAATGGAAGAACATTCCATGCTCATGGATAGGAAGAATCAATATCGTGAAAATGGCCATACTGCCAATGGTAATTTGTAGATTCAATGCCATCCCTATCAAGCTACCAATGACTTTATTCAGAGAATTGGAAAAAACTACTTTAAAGTTAATATGGAACCAAAAAAGAACCCACATTGCTGAGACAATCCTAAGCCAAAAGAACAAAGCTGGAGACATCACGCTACCTGACTTCAAACTATACTACAAGGCTACAGTAACCAAAACAGCATGGTACTGGTACCAAAACAGATATATAGACAAATGGAACAGAACAGAGGCCTCAGAAATAACACCACACATCTACAACCATCTGATCTTTGACAAACCTAACAAAAACAAGAAATGGGGAAAGGATTCCCTACTTAATAAATGGTGCTGGGAAAACTGCCTAGCCATATGTAGAAAGCTGAAACTGGATACCTTCCTTACACCTTATACAAAAATTAATTCCAGATGGATTAAAAACTTAAATGTTACACCTGAAACCATAAAAACCCTAGAAGAAAACCTAAACAATACCATTCAGGACATAGGCATGGGCAAGGACTTCATGACTAAAACAGCAAAAGCAGTAGCAACAAAAGCCAAAATAGACAAATGGGATCTAATTAAAGGGCTTCTGCACAGCAAAAAAAAACTACCATCAGAGTGAACAGGCAACCTACAGAATGGGAGAAAACTTTTGCAATCTACCCATCTGACAAAGGGCTAATATCCAAAATCTACAAAGATCTCAAACAAATTTACAAGAAAAAAACAACCCCATCAAAAAGTGGGCAAAGGATATGGACAGACGCTTCTCAAAAGAGGACATTTATGCAGCCAACAGACAAATGAAAAAATGCTCATCAACACTGGTCATCAGAGAAATGCAAATCAAAACCACAATGAGATACCATCTCACACAAGTTAGAATGGCAATCATTAAAAAGTCAGGAAACAACAGATGCTGAAGAGGATGTGGAGAAATAGGAATGCTTTTACACTGTTGGTGGGAGTGTAAATTAGTTCAACCATTGTGGAAGACAGTGTGGCAATTCCTCAATGATCTAGAACTAGAAATACCATTTGACCCAGTGATCCCATTACTGGGTATATACCCAAAGGATTATAAATCTTGTTACTATAAAGACACATGCACATGTATGTTTATTGCAGCACTATTCACAATAGCAAAGACTTGGAACCAACCCAAATGTCCAACAATGATAGACTGGAATAAGAAAATGTGGCACATATACACCATGGAAACTATGCAGCCATAAAAAAGGATGAGTTCATATCCTTTGCAGGGACATGGATGAAGCTGGAAACCATCATTCTGAGCAAACTTCACAAGGACAGAAAACCAAATACCACATGTTCTCACCCATAGGTGGGAATTGAACAATGAGAACACTTGAACACAGGGAGGAAACATCACACACCAGGGCCTGTTGTGGGGTGGGGGGCTGAGGGAGGGATAGCATTAGGAGAAATACCCAGTATAAATGATGAATTAATGGGTACAGCAAACCAACATGGCACATGTATACCTATGTATCAAACCTGCACGTTGTGCACATGTACTCTAGAACTTAAAGTGTAATTTAAAAAAAAAAAGGATAAAGATTGTGGAGACCAAAGTTCTTTTGAAGTTTTATAGTGGCTGCCCTTAGAGAAAATAGATGACAAATATTTCCTATTCAGATCTTAGTTAATCTCTTTAGGATTGGGAGGGTCTGGAAGACAAAGATCTAGCTATGTTAACAGAGATTCTTTACAGATGCAAATTTTCCCCCACAAAGAACAGCTTTGCAGGACCATTTCAAAATATGCAAAGAAACATGTTTTGGGGTAAAATATTTGTATTTTATTCCTTGTCTTGTAATGTTATGCCAAAGTCAGGTTGGAAAGTAAGTCACAATATATAGGGTTAAACAAAATTTATCTGATGAGTTTATGATATGTAGGGCATGACTCCCCTGGCCCCTTAGATAGGAATTTGTTCAAGATTTAAAAAAAAAATCAGAATTCAGTCCTTACCAGGTAATGGGGTGCTGCTGTAGAGATACCTGAAAATGTAGAAGTGACTTTGTAACTAGGTAACAGGCAGAGGTTGGAACAGTTTGGAGAGCTCAGAAGAAGATAGGAAGATGTGGGACAGTTTGGAACTTCCTAGATACTTGTTGAATGACTGATAGTGACATGAACAATGAAGTCCAGGCTTAAGTGGTCTCAGATGGAGATGAGGAACTTGTTGAGAACTGGAGCAGAGGTGACTTTTGTTATGCTTTAGCAAAGAGACTGGTGGCATTTTGCCCCTGCCATAGAGATTTGTGGAACTTTGAGCTTGAGAGAGAAGATTCAGGGCATCGGGTGGAAGAAATTTCTAAGCAGCAAAGCGTTCAAGAGGTGACTTGGGTGCTGCTAAAAGCATTCAGTTTTATTTATTCACAAATACATGGCTTGGAATTGGAACTTCTGTTTAAAAGGGAAGGAGAGCATAAAAGTTAGGAAAATTTGCGGTCTGATGATGCAATAGAAAAGAAAAACTTCCTTTCTGAGGAGAAATCCAAGCCACTGTGGAAATTTGCATAAGTAGCTAGGAGCCAAATGTTACTCCCCAAGACAATGGGGACACTGTCTCTAGGGCATGTCAGAGACCTTTGTAGCAGCCCCTCCCATCAAAGGCTTGGAGCAGTAGGAGGAAAAAATGGTTTCTTGGGTCAGACCTAGGGCCCCCCTGCTCTGTGCAGCTTAGGGACTTTGTGGCCTGTGTGCCAGCCACTCCAGCTGTGTCTAAAAGAGGCCAAGATACAGCTCAGCGTGTGGCTTCAGAGGGTGCAAGTCCCAATCCTTGGCAGCTTCCATTTGGTGTTGAGCCTGCAGGTGCCCAGAAGTCAAGAATTGAGGTTTGGGAACCTCCACCTCGATTTCAGAGGGTGTATGGAAATGCCTTGATGTCCAGGTAGAAGTTGCTACAGGGGTGGGCCCTCATGGAGAATCTCTGCTAGGTCAGTGAGGAAGGGGAATGTGGAGTTGCAGCCACCACACAGAGTACCCACTGGGGCACTGCCTAGTGGAGCTGTGAGAAGAGGGCCATCATCTTCCAGACCCCAGAATAGTAGATCCACCAACAGCTTGCACTGTGTGCCTGGAAAAGCTGCAGACACTCAACACCAGTGAAAGCAGGAGGGAGTTGGGGGGCTGTAACCTGCAAAGCCACAGGGGTGGAGCTGCTCAAGGCCGTGGGAGCCCACCCCTTGTATCAGCATGACCTGAAAGTGAGACATGGAGTCAAAGGAAATTATTTCAGAGCTTCAAGACTTGACTGCTCCATTGGATTTTGGACTTGCATGGGACCTGTATCCCCTTTGTTTTGGCCAATTTCTCTCATTTGGAATGGGTATACTTACCCAATGCCTGTATCTAGGAATTACCCAATTCCCCTTGTATCTAGGAAGTAACTAACTTGCTTTTGATTTTACAGGCTCATAGGAGGAAGGGACTTGACTTGTCTCAGATGAGACTTTGGACTGTGGACTTTTGAGTTAATGCTGCAATGAGTTAAGACTTTGGGGGACTATTGGGAAG
The DNA here is from genome assembly GCF_000001405.40 of Homo sapiens. NCBI lineage: Eukaryota > Metazoa > Chordata > Mammalia > Primates > Hominidae > Homo > Homo sapiens. Next base: position 160,206,754 of record NC_000006.12, on the reverse strand, counting down.
GCATGATTGGTTTTGAAATGTGAGGACATGAGATTTGGGAGGGACCAAAGGCAGAATGACATGGTTTGGCCCTGGTGCCCCCACCCCAATCTCACCTCGAATTGTAATAATCCCCATGTGTTAAGGGTGGGGCCAGGTGGAGATAATTGAATCATGGGAGTGGTTTCCCCCACACTGTTCTCATGGTAGTGAATAAGTCTCATGAAATCTAATGGTTTTATAAATGGGAGTTCCCATGCACAAGCTCTCTTGCCTACTGCTATGTAAGATGTGCCTTTGCTCCTCCTTTTCTTCCACCATGATTATGAGGCCTCCCTAGCCATGTAGAGCTGTGAGTACATTAAACCTCTTTCCTTTATAAATTACCCAGACTCAGGTATCTTTTTAACAGTGTGAGAACAGACTAATACACCCCAAACCCCCTGAATCTCTTTTGCCAAAAGATGCAACCTTTCTTTTCCTTTTGAGAAAAACGAACTTCCCTTGCTTGAACACTTGTAATCATCTCATCTGAGGTAGCTGCCTTGAGAGGGAATGCCAGTACTCCTTAAGACCTCCTCCACCCATTATTGCCCCCAGATATGTCTAGAGTAGATTCCCACGTACATCTCAAGACAAGTCAAAAGATTGCAGTCTAGGAAAGATATAGCTTAAATATGAAAAGAATTTCAAGATTTTTTAGTTTACATTGGCAGAAGTCAGGGGGGAGATTTAGAAATAAATTGCAATGATGCTAGACCCAGGAGGGTGAACATAATGTTGGAGCAAGTCAAATTTATTGATATGAGTTCCCTAATGCAAGATTTAGATTTAATGTGCTAGCTGAACCATTGGCCACCAGTTCCAGTAGTTTGCAGACCAACAACTTTAGAAAAGATGTAAGGGGGCTGGGCACAGTGGCTCACACCTGTAATCCCAGCACTTTGGGAGGCCGAGGCAGGCAGATCACAAGGTCAGGAGATCGAGACCAGCCTGTCCAATATGGTGAAACCCCATCTCTACTAAAAATACAAAAAATTAGCCGAGCATGGTGGCAGGCGCCTGTAGTCCCAGCTACTCAGGAGGCTGAGGCAGGAGAATGGCGTGAACCTGGGAGGCGAAGCTTGCAGTGAGCTGAGATTGCACCATTGCACTCCGTCCTGGGCGACAGAGCGAGACTCCATCTAAAAAAAAAAAAAAAAAAAAAAAAAAAGATGTAAGGGAATGTTTTCATAATTTATAATGAGGAAGAGCTTCTCAGGTAAGAACAAAATCCAGGAGACTTAAAGCAAAAGATTGATCCATTTGGCTACACAAAACAAGACTAAGTTAAGTGAAGCTAGGTGAGTAACACACATGCACCATCATACAGACCAAAAACAAATTTAATAGATGAGTAACAGATTTGGAAAAACATTTTCAGCATATAAAAAATATCCAAAGGACTTCTGTCTAATAGAAATAAGGAGCTACTAAAAATCAATAAGAAAAAGTAAGGGAAAAAAAGATCCCAAAATTCAAATATTTAGAGCAGATAACATAAAATGGTCAATTAAGTTATGAAAAAGATCTGTATCCTCATTGCTAATCAGAAAAATACAAATTAAAATAACAAAGAAATAGTTTTCATTCATCAGATTAATTTTTAAAATTAATAAAATTGAACATATTGGGTGTGGACAAGTGTGTAAGTAAACTTTCCTAATTGCTGGTAGGAGTATTGATTGATACATTCCTTTAAGAAGGCAATTTGGCAGTGTTCATCAATATTACAAATGGGCATGTCTGTGACCCAACAATTTACTCCTATGTATCTATCTTAGAAAAACACAATAGTATACACAGAGGCATTTCAGAGATATTCATTGCATCATTTATTGACGACAGCAAACTTAGAAATAACCAAAGTTCATAAACATGAGGAATGCTTACATAGTGGTATATCCACTCCTCAGTTAAAGAGGAATGAAAAAGCTTTATAAATGCTCCATAGAAAGACCTCCAAGATGAAAGGCAAAGCCAGGTTTTAGAACAACAGTATGGGAAAGAGAGGATGCACACTCACTGATGGCCTATGAAGAGGGCATCTGGGACTGGGCAGTGGGCAAGGAGACATTTTAGATTTTCCTGAAGTTCTTGCATTTTTATGCTTTCATGTGCATGTTCATGTCATATGTTCAAGTCACTTTAAAACATACATTTTTAACTCTGGAAAATAATTTGGTAGTTTCTTTAAAAAAACTAAATATGCACTTATCATATGACCCACCAGTTGCACTCCTGAGCGTTTATCCCAGTAAACCAATGTCCACACAAAACCTATACACAATTCTTCACAACAGCTTTATTTGTAATAGTTAAAAACAACCAAAATGTCCCTCTATAGGTGAATGGTTTAACAAAGTGTTGTATATCCATGCCAAGCAATAGTACTTATCAACAAAAACAATGCACACACAACTAGAATGGATCTCAAGGGCATTATGCTGAGTGATAAAAGCCAATCTCGGAAGGTCATTTTTTAGATGGAAAACAGATTGGTGGCTGATGATGGTAGTGGTTACATAAATCTACACGTGCTAAAACAACATAGAACTATACACTATATACATATTGCACAAATGACAGTTTCCTGGTTTTGATATTGTACTATAATTAAAGAAGCTGTAACCACCAGGAGACTAGGTGAAGGATAACCAGGAGCCCTCTGTACTATCTCTGCAACTTCCTATAAACCCATAATTATTTCAAAATAAAATTTTAAAGAATAAATGACTAACCATACAGTATTTCTAAAAAAAAAAAAAAAAAAAAAAAGCTATGAAATCCCAGAAGAGACCATTTCTCTATAGCAATGTGACTTAAAGTTATCAATTATGGTATCTTTGAAATCTGAAAAAAATATAGTTCCTCTCCCCAGAAAAATACATAACCAAAACTTATACAAATGTTCACAGACTTTATTGATTCCTCACCCAGTTAAGAACTCTTGCTGTAGACATAGCAGTAGGCAAACTAAGTCCACAGGCCAAATCCAGTCCACCACCTGTTCTTTAAATAAAGTTTTAATGGCACCCAGCCACACCCATTCATGTATGTATTGTCTATGGCTGCTTTCAATCTACAGTAGATTGAAATAAATCAGCTGTAGAACTGAGTTATTGCCAGAGAGACTCTCTGGCCCACAAACCTTAAAATATTTACCATCTGGTCCTTTACAGAGAAAGTTTGCTAACTCCCAGGTAATATTCCATCTCTATAACCTGAAGAAACATTGGAATAAAAAAAAAAACATGAACAGAGAAGGCAGTGCCTTTGACATTCTAAAACCTGCATTTCTTTTTCTATGTGCCTGGAATTAAACATCATTTTTTTGTATGCAGGCAAGTAGCCAGGGGGCAATTTGGAAAGAAAAATAAAAATGAACATTCCTGGAATGTGGGCAGTGCTCAGCACTCTGAATGTGACCCGGGAGGTCCCTCCCCATATCCCTGCGATAAGGCTGTGCTGCCCATCTCCCTAGGTCCCAGGGCCTGGGGTGTGTTCAGGGTGTGGAACTCCCAGCAGCCCCCTTGCTCTTGAGGTCTTGGAGGTGACTTACAAATGGAAGGTCAACAGACTACTCATGACTAGCTCAGGAGAATCCCTCGGATCCAATGCCCATTTATCAAAAACAATATTATTTGAATTTAACCTAAAATTTTCTAAAAGGCATATTTATTTGTCTTTGATGAAGGACACAGATTTTTTCTTTAAATGTGGGTCTTCTGGTAAGAGTTCCATGTGCTCTTTCTCGCATATACCACATTCAGAATGTATTGTTTATGATTTGCAATTCTGGTTTCTTTAAAGTAGAGCTAGAACTGAAAACATTCTGAAACATTCTGAATCCCAAATCCCAGATTTGTATAACACTTTTTTTTACATTTGATTCACTCACATTTAATTAAATGATATTTTTAGTGATTAACATTTATGGAATATTAAGAAAGCATTTAATTTACATTAAATACAATAAAAAAGTAACTCATTTTCACATTCACATTTCATCAGGTTACATAAGTAGTAAAGTTGGGCAATTTCAATACCAAGTTTAATGAGAAAATAAAATACATCTGGGAACAAATCCAACCTACTCTTGGTCAGCCTGTAACTCAATTGGTAGATGTGGGTGGCTGAGCACGCTAGAATGTGACCACCTAGCAGGAGGTGTGGGCTGGTCAGCTGATTTTGCAGAGGGAGGGGTGGTCCTGCCAGATGACTAAGTAGAATCTGGTTTTGTGAGCTTCTCCTAAGCTCAATGCTGATATTTTAAACAAAACATACAATTGTTTTTATTTCCCTCACACGAGCCTCTTTGAAGAGAACCACATATATAAAACTCCACCCTGACGAAACCCCAAGAATAAAACTCTCTTCTCTTTCTCTGTTTGGCAAATTTTAACATGAGATCCATGCTTAGCAAGGATTCTAAAACAAGGACTCAGGTCAGCCTGAGTGCCCTCCATTAAGTTCTGGAATCAAAAGTGACTTGGCAAAGACATCTTTTCCAAAACAGTTTGACTCCACTTCACATCATCAGACAAAGTGGTCTTGGGCTCAAGTTGACATTCTGATGTCTTTGACAACAATTCTTTGAGGCAGGAAGATGTGGAATAAGAGGCTGTCCTTGTCCATTCCCTCTCCAGCTGCTGGAATTTTCAGGTTTCTGTGACATCAATGTTGCCTCATTCTATACCTTCCCTGGCTAGTCTAGAATATAATAAATCTTGTGCCATTAATGCTTTTCCTCAGTCACAGAGCACACAACGTCACTCCTTCCACAAGGACTAGTCCTGACAAAACTGAGGCGCCCATCTCCCAGGTTCCCTTGTTCCCAGGAAACTCTATCCTCTTCCCACCTAGTCCATAGCCCACCTTCCTGGCTAGTCCATAGCCCTTTTCCTGTGACACCAAGCAGTCTCCCCTGAGCTTCTCATCAAAAGACACAGGCACCACCACCCAGAATCTGAGGACTCTGCCACAGAGTGCAGCATGGGAGTAGAGGACACTATCCTGGAAACTAACCGAGCCATGTTGTGAAACCAGGAGTTATGGTCTAGAGAGCCCTGGGGCCTTAAATCATTTGAAGCACTTGTGTGCCCAGAGGCTCCTAAAAAGCTGTGACTCTCCACACTAGGTACCCGCTGTGATTCTCACATCAATGACTTGAGCCCTGAACTCTCTTCCCGTCTCCAGACATTGCCATTTAGCTGTCCTGAGGGTTTCCCGTGAACACCATTTCTCACTGGAATATTGCTGCAGACGTTTAAAATGCCTATTTAGATCTTGATAAGAAGAATTCTGAAAAATTCCATATTCATATTTTGCTTGCCCATTTTCTAAGCCATCTCTCATCTCCAGGAATATCATAAGCTATTTACCCAAAAAAACAGATGTCCAGTAACTATTTTTATGTCAGGCTTAGAGACACCAGGAGCTGTGAAGCACAGCTGTTGACCTTCTGGGCCACACAGTCTCATAAGACCACAATTCCAACACAACACATTACACTGCTGTAACCAGAACTGCACTGTGTGAGCAATGTCACTAGAACATCAGACTACGACCACAGCATGGTGGCAAGAGTTGGTGTTGGTCTTTTCTATTCAATAATCCTGGATGTTGGAATAGTAACCCCAGCATTGCACTAGGCACCGCAACAAGATAAGCAAGACGGACAGGGTTTTGTTTTCACAAGGGGGATAGAGGCAAGGAATTGGGCAGTACCATCGATGTGCCCTGGGAACAGGAAGAAAGAGCCTTGGGCTCTCAGAGTCAGAGCTCAGTCCTGCCTGCTGAGTTGGTACACATTTCCTTGGGGAGCTGACATTTAGCTGCAATTCTAGAAATCAACAAGATTTTCCAGGCAGACAGGAAAGGTAGGAGAAAGCATGTTCCCTACAGAGATAGCAGCACTGGAGAATGTCGCCAGGACAGGTTTGGGGGAACACCCTTGTGGCTGAGGGACAGGGTGCATGCTGGAGGTGGGGAACAGAAGGTGGAAAGGAGGGAGGCAAGCCGGGACTGCACAGCCTTGGCACTGTGGGAAGAGAGGTGGGGAGGGAATGAGGGGCAACAGGAGGTGGGGTGGGTGGAGAGAAGCAAATAAATGAGAAACAGACCTAGGAAGGAAAACAAAATAATGTGATTAGATGTGGGGCAAGAGGTCAAACGAGGAATTTAAGACAAGTCTAGTGATGAGAATGATTCCATAATAATCTAACAGAAAACAAACAAACTGGAAACTAACCCTAAATGCTCTGCAGCTTTGGGACATTTAGTATAGGAGCAAACATCTGGAGGTCTACAGGTCCTGAGATCACCAGTATCGCAGAGCACGATACAGTAACTTTGGTACCAAAAATAATCAGAAAACATAAAAATAGGTTCAAGTACTGATACAGTTTGGATGTGTGTCCCCTGCAAATCTCATGTTGAAATGTAACCTCCCCTGTCGGATGTGGGGCCTGGTGGGAGATGATTGGGCCATGGGGGCGGATTTCTCATGAATGGTTTAGAGCCATCCACTTGGTGCTGTCCTTGCCTTAGTGAGTGAGTTCTCATGAGATCTGGTCATTTAAAAGTGTGTGGCACCTCCCCACCTCACTCTCTTGCTCTTACTTTTGCCATGTGACATGCCCACTTCCCCTTCACCTTCCACCTGAGTGTACGCTCCCTGAGGCCTCCCCAGAAGCAGATGCTGCTATGCTTCCTGTATAGCCTGCAGAACTGTGAGCCAATTAAATTTATTTTCTTTATAAATTACCCAGTCTCAGATATTTCTTTATAGCAATGCAAGAACAGACTAATAAGTACATTTAAAGTACTCTTTCAAAAAGCAAGAAAACGTATAAGACATCTTGGAAACAGTTTCATCCAAAATGGTTAAAATGGAAATGGAGGTAAGATTTCAGGTAGGGATAATTTCTAGTTTTCTTCTTTATAATTTTTGCATTTTCCCAATTTTCTTTAGAGTGTGTATTTCTTTGAAATATGTATTAGGTAGCATTTGATGCATACACAAGCATATATGTGACACACAGGCCACCAATAAATCTTTTTTTCCTTAACTCATCCCTTACCCAGCCCCCTCACCACACCAAAGGGAAGACTGTTCCAGTTTTGTCTGTATTATGTCCTTGCTTTTTATTTTTATCGCATACACACACACAAGCATGCACATACATATGTATCTCTAAATGAAATATATTTTAGTTTTACTTAGCTTTTTAAACAGCTTTAGTAAGGTATAATTCACATACAGTAATTCAATATACCTATTTAAAGTATACACTTTGGTAAGTTCTGGTGTGTTTACATACTTGTAAAATCATCACCATAATCGAGATAATGAATTTATATCCATCATCCCCAAAAGCTTCTGAATGCCCCTTGATAATCCCACTCACACCTCCCCATTGTGCCCCTCAGGAAACCACTGATCAGCTTTATTTTAATGTAAACTAATTTGCATTTTCTGGAAAATGAAATGAAACCAGTCAGACTTTCTTATCGCTCAGCATAATTATTGTGAGATTTGTCATGTATGTTGTTGTATATGTCAGTGGTTCTTCCCCTTCTGCTGGCTAAATAAACATGTTTTTGAAATTTATAAAAATAATACATTGTACTATAGTCTTCTCTGAAGTGCCTTTTTACTCACTGTTATGGGGCAAACGTGGTTTATTGAGGAAGTAACCCCAGGAACCAGGAGTGAGAGATCAGGGAAAGTGAGAGGGGAAGGAGAGAAACTCACTGAAGGGCATTCATCATGGTCACTAGTGAGGGAATTCTACCACGAGAAACAGATAGAACACATCCTGAATTGTCTATTTAAAGAATGAGAATGAGAAGCCACAGTGTTATCCACCATTTATCTCATTTAAAGAATGAGAATGAGAAGCCAGAATGTTATCCACCAGCTGCAGTCCTGCTCCTGAGGCCAAACACTGTCCGTGTTTTATGTGCATTGTTGCAGAGAGCACTAGTTACTCATTACACTGCCACAGGAAGTTTCACTGTGAAACCAGCATGTGATTCTTTTTAGTACAATTTATATGTCCACTCTCCTACTGATTGAAATTCAAGTTGTTTTCAGCTTGGGGGCTTTACAAACAATGCAATTCTAAACATTCTTGTGATGTCCCAGGGCTTGTATACAAATTTCTATACAGCACACACTTAGAAACAGAATTTACTTAATCATAAGATGTGGGAATGTTCACCATTACAATAGAATTCTCAATTATTTTTTAAAGTGTATCAATTTACACTCCCATCTGCAGCATCAAAAATGTCCTGTCAATTTACATCTTCATTAATATTTGGTATTATTATACCAATTTTATATTTTCATATTTCTTACTTTTTACCAATTAGTGAATATAACATTTTTAATCTCACTGTGGCCTTAATTTTCCTGTCCTTGATTAGTAAGGAGGTTAAGCATCTTTTCACGGGCATATTTGCCATTTGTATTCTCTTTTCTGTGAAATGCTTGCCTAAGTGTTTTGGCAGTTTTTTCATCGGGGTTTTAGTTTCTTCCTTTTTTAATTTTAATTTTTTAATTGACATATAGTAACTGTACATATTTATGGCATACATAGTGATGTTTTGAAACACATAATGTATAGTGATCTGATTAGGGTAATCAGCATGTCCATCATCTCAAATGTTCATCATTTCTTTGTGTTGGGAACATTCAATACCCTACTTCTAGCTATTTGAAACTATGCATTATTGTTAATTATATTCATCCTATAGTGGTATAGAATACTAGAACCTATTCCTCCTACCTAGCTGTAAGTTTGTGTCATTTAACAAATCTCTCCCTAACCCTCTCTTCCCCACACCCTTCCCAGCCTCTAGTATCCTCTGTTCTACTTTTTACTTCTATGAGATCAATGTTTAGCTTGCACAGATGAGTGAGAACTTGTAGTATTTAACTTTCTGTTCCTGGCTTATTTCACTTAACATAATGTCCCCCAGTTCCATTCATATTGCCATGAATGACAAGATTTCATTTTTTATGGCAAATAGTATTCCATGGTGTATATTTATCACATTTTGTTTATCCATTCATCTGATGATAGACACCTAGGTAGATTCTATATCTTGGCTATTGCTATTAGTGCTGCAATAAACATGGGCAGTGGGGAGGGTGGTGGTTGCAGATGTCTCTGATACACCAATTTCCTATCCTTTGGATAAATGACCAGTTGTGGGATTGCTGAATCATATTGTAGTTTTATCTGCAGTTTTGTGAAATATTTCCAACTGTTCTCCATAGTAGCTATACTAGTTTACATTCCCACCAACAGTGTATAAGAATTCCCTCGGCCAGGTGCGGTGGCTCACTTTGGGATGCCAAGGTGGGCAGATCACGAGGTCAGGAGATCAAGACCATCCTGGCTAACATGGTGAAACCCCATCTCTACTAAAAATACAAAAAATTAGCCAGGCATGGTGGCACGCACCTGTAGTCCCCAGCTACTCAGGAGGCTGAGGCAGGAGAATCACTTGAACCCAGGAGGTGGAGGTTGCAGTGAGCCGAGATCGCATCACTGCACTCCAGCCTGGGTGACAGAGCGAGACTCTGCCTCAAAAAAGCATATAAATAAAAATAAAAATAAAGCATTCCCTTTTCTCCACATCCTCACCAGTATTTGTTTTTTATTTGTTTGTTTTGTTTTTTGTTTTTGTCTTTTTGATAACAGCTATTCTAACTGGGATGAGGTATTAACCTCATTGTGATTTTGATTTTCATTTCCCTAATGATTAAATGATGCTGAGCATTTTTTCTTATATTTATTGGCCATTTATATGTCTTTATTTTGATAAATATCTGCACAGATCATTTGCCCCTTTTCTAATCAGATTGAGCATTTTTTGCTGTTGAGTTATTTAAGTTCCTTTTATATTCTGGATATAATGCCCTGTCAGGTGAATAGTTTGTAAATACTTTCTCCCATTCTGTAGATTGTCTTTTCACTCTGTTGATTGTTTCCTTTGCTGTACAGAAGCCATTTGGTTTGTTATAATCCAGTTGGTTTATTTTTGCTTTTGTTGCCTGTGTTTTTGAGGTTGTATTTATAAAATTGTTTCCCAGACCAATATCCTGAAATATTTCCCCTATGTTTTCTTCTAGTAGTTTTGTACTTTTGGGTGTCATATTTAGGTCTTTAAGCATTTTGAGTCGATTTTTATATAGGGTGAGAGGCAGGAGTCTAGTTCCATTCTTCTGCATATGGATATCCAGTTTTCCCAGCACCATTTATTGAAGAAACTGTCTTTACACCATTGTGTATTCTTAGCAACTTTGTCAAAAATCAGTTGTCTATAGACACATGAATTAATTTCTGGATCCTCTATTCTGTTCCATTGGCCTTTGTGTCTGTTTTTATGCCAGTACCGTGCTGTCTTCATTAAACATACTACAGCTTTGTAGCATATTTTGAGGTCTGGCAGGGTGATGCCTCTAGCTTTGTTCTTTTTGCTTAGAATTGCTTTGGCTATTTGGGGTCTTTTGAGTTCCATACAAATTTTAAGATAGTTTTTTTTTTCTTTCTGTAAGAATTTCATTGGTAATTTGGTGGGGATTTTATTGGATCTTTAGGTGGCTTTGGGTCATATGATCATGTTAATGATATTAATTATTTCTATCCATGAGTATGGGATATCTTTCCATTTGTTTGTAACCTTTTCAATTTATTTCATCAATGTTTTATAGGTTTCCTTGTAGAGGTCTTTCACCTCCTTGGTTAGATTTATTTCCAGGTGTCTCATTTTTTATAGCTATAGTAAATGAGATTGCTGTCTTGATTTCTTTTTCAGCTAGTTTGTAATTAGTGTAGAGAAATACTACTGAGTTTTGTATGTTGATTTTGTATCTTGCAACTTTACTGAATTCATTTATTAGTTCTAAGACGTTTTGGTGGAGTTTTCAGGTTTTTATATATATAAGATCTGTCACCTGCAAGCAGGGACAATTTGACTTCCTCTCTTACAATTTAGATGATCTTTATTTCTTTCTCTTGACCAATTGCTCTGGCTAGGACTTCCAGTACTATGTTGAAAGGGTTGTATCAACACCTGTGGAAATAAAGGTGAAAAAGTAAAAAGAAAAAGAGGCCAGATGCAGTGACTCATGCCTGTGATACCAGGACTTTGGGAGGCCAAGGCAGGCAGGTGGCTTGGGGCCAGGAGTTCAAGACCAGCCTGACCAACATAGCAAAACCCTGTCTCTACTAAAAATAAAAAAAAATTAGCCAGGTGTGGTGGTGCACCCCTGTAATCCCAGCTACTCGGGACACTGAGACATGAGAATCACTTGAACCTGGGAGGTGGAGGTTGCAGTGAGCCAAGATCACACCACTGCATTCCAGCCTGGGTGACAGAGTGAGACTCTGTCTCAAGAAAAAAAAAAATGAAAGAAAAGAAAAAGAAAAAAGACAAAGAGTTGTGATTGTGGCCATCCTTGCCTTGTTCCAGTTCCTAGAGGAAAAGCTTTCAGCATTCCCCCATTCAGTATGGTGTTTGCTATGGGTTTGTCATATAGGGTCTTTATTGTGTTCAGGAACTTTCCTTCTATACCAAATTTATTGAGAGTTTTTATCATGAAGGGATGTTAACTATTACCAAATGCTTTTTTTGCATCCATTGAGATGATCACGTGGGTTTTGTCCTTCATTCTGTTGATGTGATTTATCACATTTATTGATTTGTGTATGTTAAACCATCCTTGCATTCTTGGGATAAATCCCATTTGTTCATGGTGTATTATCTTTCTGATGTAGTGTTGGATTGAGTTTGCTAGTATTTTTTTTTAATGATTTTTACATCTATGTTCATCAGGGATATTGGCCTGTATTTTCCTTTTTATGTAATGTCTTTGTCTGATTTTGGTATCAGGGGTAGGCTGGCCTAATAGAATAAGTTAGAAAGGGTTCTTTTCTTTTCCATTTTTAAGAATAGTTTGAGAAGAATTGGTATTAATTCTTCTTTAAAGATTGGGCAGAATTCAGTGGTGAAGCCATCTGGTCCTAGACTTGTTTCTGTTGGGAGACTTTTTATTTAATCTTGTTACTTGTTATTGCTGTGTTCAAGTTTTCTATTTATTCTTGGTTCAGTCTTGGTAGATTGTTTGCTTCTAGGAATTTATCCATTTCCTCTAGGTTTTCAAATGTATTGGCATGTAGTTGTTCATAGTAGTCTCTAATGATCTTTTGTATTCCCCTTTCTTGTTTCTAATTTTATTTAGTTGGGTTTTCTCTCTTTTTTCCTTAGTTCAGATAATGATTTATCAATCTTGTTTAACTTTAAAAAAAACTTTTTATTCATTGATATTTTGTATTTTTTTAGTCTCAATGTTGTTTATTTCTACTTTGATCTTTATTATTTCTTTCCTTCTACCAATTTTGAGTTTGATTTGTTCTTGCTTTTCTTATTCCTTGAGAGGCATCTTTAGGTTATTTGAAATCTTTCTACTTTTTAAATGTAGGCATTTATTGCTATAAAGTTGACTCAATACTGCTTTTGCTGTGTGCTATAGAATTTTTTATGTTGTGTTTCTATTTTCATTTGTTTCAAGGGATTCTTAATTTCATTATTAATTTCTTTCTTCACCTATTGGTCATTCAGGAGCATGTTTTTTTTTTTTTAATTTCCAGGCATTTATACAGTTTTGAACGTTTTTCTTTGTATTGATTTCTGGTTTTATTATATTGTAGTCTGATAAGGTACTTGATATAATTTTGATATTTAAAAACTTTTTGAGACTTGTTTTGTGTCCTAACATATGGTGAATTCTGCAAAATTTTCCATGTGCTGATGAAAAGAATGTGTGTCTGCAGCTATTGGGTGAAATGTTCTGTAAATGTCTGATATTTCCTTGTTGATTTTTCTGTCTAGATGATCTGTCCAATGCTGACAGTGAAGTGCTGAAGTTGTCAGCTATTATTGTATTGAGTTTTATGTCTCCCTTTTGATCTAATATTTGTTGTATATATCTAGGTGCTTCCATGTTGGGTGCATATATATTTATAATTGTTATATTCTTTTGCTGAATTGATTCCTTTATTATTAGTATACTTAATTATCTCATTTTCCAGCTTTTGACTTGAAGTTGGTTTTGTCTGACATAAATATAGCTATTACTGCTTGGTTTTGGTTTCTGTTTGTGTGAAATATCTTTTTCAATTCCTTCACTTTCAGTTTATGTGTGTCTTTACAGATAAGGTGAGTTTCTTGTAGGCAGCATAGACTTGGGTCTTGCCTTTTTTGTTGTTGTTTTTGTTTTTTTGAGTTTTTTTTAAAGCATTCAGCCAGTCTATAACTCTTAAATGGGAAATTTAATCTATTTATAGTCAAGGTTACTATTGATACACAAGGACTTTCTCCTGTCATTTTATCAAATTTTTTCTGGTTGTTTGTACACCTTTTGTTCCTTCTTCCCTTTTTGCTTATTTTTGTGGTTGAGCAGTTTTCTGTAGTGATAAGGTTTTAATCCCTTTTTTTCTTTCTCCTTTGTTTATTGGCTCTACCAGTGAGTTTTATAGTTTTGCATGTTTTTATAATGGTAGTTAACAATTTTCCACTTCCAGATGTAGGACTCCCTTGAGCATTTCTTGTAAGGTTAGTCTAGTGGTGAAGAATCCCTTTAGTTTTTATTTGTTTTGAAAGATATTATTTATCCTTCATTTCTGAAGAATAGCTTTGCTGGGTATAATACTCTAAGTTGGAAGGTTTTTTTTCTTTTCATTCAGTACTTTGAATATATCATCCCATCCTTTCCTGGCCTGTAAGGTTTCTGCCAAGAAATCCACTGTTAGTCTAATGTTATTTCCTTATAAATAATTTGACACTTTTGCGCTTTTTAGAATTCTTTCTATGTCTCTACATTTTACCAATTTGAATATAGTGTTCCTTGGAGAGGACCTGTTTGGGTTGAATCTGTTTAGGGTTCTTTGGGCAACCTGAATCTGGATGTCCATCTCTCTCTCAAGACTTGGTAATTTTTCAGTTATTATTTTATTAAATATGTTTTATATACCTTTTCCAATCTCTTCTTCTGGAACACTCTAAGGTGAACATCTGTTTACCTACTGGTGTCCCATAAATCCTATGGATTTTCTTCATTCCTTTTTACTTTTTATTATTTTTTGTCTGCCTGTGATATTTTTTAAAGCCTGTTTTGAAGTTCAGAAATTCTTTCTTCTGCTTGGCCTAATGTGTTGTCGAAGCTCTTGATTGTATTTCTTAATTCATTCACTGTGTTCTTTTGGCTCTAGAATTTCTGTTTGGTTCTTTGTTATTATTTCTGTGTCTTTGTTGAACTTCTCTTTTAAATAATGAATGGTTTTCCTAGTTTTTTAGAATTGTCTGTGTTCACTTGTATCTCACTGTGTTTCCTTAAGATTCTTATCTTGAATTTCATTTCTGGAATTTTGTATATCTTCTTATGATTAGGGTCTGTTACTGGAGAATTATTTTGTTCTTTTGGAGGTGTCATGTTTCTTTGCTTTTTCATGTTTGATGTATACCTACATTGATGTCTATGCATCTGGTGGAAAATTCACCTCTTCCAATTTTATGGAGTGCACTTTGTAGAAAAAGACTTACTCATATGGGTGGGTCTTGGGATGTCAATTTGGTGGAGTGCATTGGCTTTGGTTCTAGGTGGACACAATACTATTGTTTATATGTATTTTCTTCAGCTATAATCCACACCAGTGATGTTTATGAGTGTCTCAGTGGCCTAGGCTATGACCATTTGTGTTGGCAGTTTAACTTTGCCAGGTGTGGGCTCACTGGGCTGTTTCTCAGGTTGTGGGCATGTGCACATACGCAGTGTGTCAGCCAACTTGGGTCAGCTTGCTGAGGTTGGGGCCACAGTGATGTTATTCCGGCTGGGGGCACAGGCATGTGGTTTCACAGCCAGCCTGGAGGTGTCTACCAGGTATGGCCCATGAGGATGTTTCTCAAGACCAGAACACAGGTACCAGTCTGCTCAATTGGCCTGGGGGTTCTCTGCCTGGGGATGTGTCTGCCAGGGGCAACCTACAAGACTGTTACTCAGGCCCTGCTTGTGGGCACAGGGCCTTTGGGCAGGCCAGGAACTACCTGTGCTATTTCTCAGGCTCTGGGTATGGGCATGTAGACACCCTGCCAGCCTGGGGACATGCCAGCTGCTTAGTGGCTTGAGGACCTTTCCTGCTTGGGGGAAGGCACATAGAAGTTTGACTGGCTCAAGGGCAAGTTTGCCTTGGGGGGACTGCCAGACTGTTTCTCTTGCTGGAAGTGGAGGTCACAGAGATTAGTTTCCCTAATGTGCAGGACTAGAATCACAGCTGATCCTAGGCCCAGGATCTGCACAGCTGGAGTTGTGGTGTTCAGCCACCTGTATGGGCTTGGTGGAATGAAGACAAAGCCTCAGGGCTAGAAAAGTCCAGTGGCTGCTGGCTGTCAGAGTAGAATGAACTCAAGAGGTGGTGCCATGCTAAAGTAGCTTCACAGGGAGTGGGTGGGAGGAAGGGAGTGCACACTTTGCACTTCTAATCTGGAGCAATGCAACTGTGTGAGTTCCTGGCAGCTCTCCAAACTGGGCTCAGGGCTTGCAAGGACTATGGGATTCTTCTGTAGTAAAAGCTGTTAGTGTTTGCAATGGCAATGGGGGCTGGTTGGGATCTTCTGCTTTCCTTTCCCCACATTTGGAAGTCCTTCCAGACTCCATGCCAGCATAATCTGGGAAGGGGAGACAAGGCTTCAGAAGTGTCTGTCGACTCCACACTACACTCCAGCACTCTCCCTTCGACCTCCAGTCAAACCTTAGCTCTCTTTCATGGCCTTTATCCTTTCTTGTGTGGAGGATGAGTGCCTGGCATCTCAAATCATGTATTGCTTGCTGGCTGAGTGCAGTGGCTCATGCCTGTAATCCCAGCATTTTGGGAGGTCGAGGCGGGTGGATCATCTGAGGTCAGGCATTCAAGACCAGCCTGGCCAACATAGCGAAACCCTGTCTCTACTAAAAAATAAAAAAATTAGCTGGGTATGGTGGCAGGAGCATGTAATCCAAGCTACTCGGGGGGGCGGGTGAGACAGGGAGAATTTCTTGAACCCAGGAGGCGGAGGTTGCAGCAAGCCAAGATCACGCCACCGCACTCCAGTCTGGGCAACAGAGCGAGACTCCATCAAAAAAGAAAAAAAAATCATGTATTGCTCTAATATTTTTATCAGTTATAAATGTTGCAAATATATTCTTTCAGTTGACAACATGTCTTTTACTATCTTTCTAGTGTCCTTAGATGAAAGGAAATTCTTGAGTTTAACACAGCTAAATTTATCTTTTAGATTTGCATGGGTAATATCTTGTTTAAGAAATCCTTTACTACACAGAGCCTGAACATGCATAAGCCTCTAAAAGTCTCAAAGATTTGCTTTTCACACTCAAGTTGTTAATTTGTCAGGATTTAACTGTTGTGTATGGCAAGAAAACTGTCTCTTCTTTACCCACTAATTTGTTACTCTTTCTCTGTCTTAAATTCCGTTTCCATAGAAATAGATGTCATCTGTTTTTGAGCTCTCTTTCCTGTTTTGGCTTTCAATCCCTACATCAACATGATTCTGTCAATACCTGTATCCTTATCATAAGTCTTTGTATCTGCCAGAGCAAGTATACTTTTTCTTTCTCTTCCTCTTTCTTCCTCCTCCTCCTCTTTCCTTCTCCTCCTCCTTCTTCTGTGTATTAGCTATTCTTAGGCCTTTGCTCTTACATATTAATTTTTCAGATTCCCCTAGAAACTCCAAACCTAGTTGGGATTTTTATTGGAATTGTTTTAAACCTCTAAATCAATATGGAGATAATTAACATCTTTGTAAAGTTAAATCTTCCTATTCAAGAGCATCATATGTTTATACATTGAATTAAATATTCTCTAATATCTTTCAGTAAAGTTTAAAAATTTTCTGCTTACAAGTGTTGCAAATCTTAGATTTATTGTTAGCTATCTTTTATTTGTTGTTACTGTTTTAAATGATATATTTATGAAACTATGTTTTTCTTGTCGTTGCTGCTGGCACATAGCAAGGCAATTTACTTTTGTGTACTTGTCTTATTATTCCTGACACTTTGTAGATTCTTTTTTATTTTCTACACAAACTATTATGTTATATATTAATAATGATAGTATTGCTTCTTCTTTTCCAGTATTTCTCCAACTACACTAGCTAGGACTTCAGCACAGTGTTGAAGCCTTATTGAGTGTACCATCGTTCCATTAGCCCTAATTTTAAATGGAATAATTATAACATTTCATCATTAAAAATGATAATTGCTGTAGACTGTTAACCAGCCACTTTATCAGGTTACGAAAATACCTTATGTTTCTCATTTGCTAAGATTTTTTCTTCATTTGACCTGCTAGTGTGGTTAATTATGTTTATAGATTGTCTAACGTTAAACTACTATTGAGTTTGTATGACAAACCTGACTTGGTCATAGCATTATCATTTTTATTTATTGTTGGATGTGGTTTTCTAGTATGTGTTTAGAATTTTTAAATCTATATTAATAAATAGGAATGGCTTCTATGTTTCCTTTCTCATCCACTCCTGGTTTTAGAATTGAGGCTGCTATGAGTATACACAGATCACCAAGAGGAAGCAAAACTAACCCAGAGCCGAGGCTGGACTCTGAGTGCCATTGCTGTGTGTGCCCAAGGCCTTGCTTCCCTTGGGCTGCTCCCAGATGATGACTGAGCTTGCAGGGAGACTCAGATAGTCCATTCCTGAGTGATTCATCTGCCCTCCAACTCTGCCAAACCTCTCCTTGACTGCCCAGGAGTCTAGGATGCCTCTGTGCCCCCTCTCTTCCTCTCCTTTCCTTTCTGACAGTTCTCCCCAGCTCCATACCATTTTATATCACAAGAATTTTGCCCAATAAAATTATTGCACTTTTAATTCTGCTTTGGCATTTGCTTCTCAGAGGACTTGGATTAACACAGAAATCAAAACAAGTGTTAGCATTCCATGCTAACACTTGTTTTGATTCCATAAAAAATGATGAGTTCTTGTCCTTTGTAGGGACATGGATGAAACTGGAAATCATCATTCTCAGCAAACTATCGCAAGGACAAAAAACCAAACACCGCATGTTCTCACTCATAGGTGGGAATTGAACAATGAGAACACATGGACACAGGAAGGGGAACATCACACATCAGGGACTGTTGTGGGTTGGGGGGAGAGGGGAGAGATAGCATTAGGAGATATACCTAATGTTAAATGATGAGATATACCTAATGTTAAATGATGAGTTAATGGGTGTATACATATGTAACAAACCTGCACATTGTGCACATGTACCCTAAAACTTAAAGTATAATAATAATAAAATAAATTTAAAAAAAAACAAGTGTTAGCAAAGGATTGAAAAATCTGCTGCCTGAAAGTTTAGTGGGGCTTGCCTTCAAAGCCATCTAGCTGATGTTTTCTTGTGGTGAAGCATTTAACCACTCATTCATTTTATTTTATTGCTGTAGTATGATCTAGGCTTCCTATTTCTTCAATGAATTTTGGTACTTAAGCATTTCTAGGAATTAGTTCATTTCATTAATTTTTCTAATGCATAGGCAGAAAGTTGTGGACACTTTTCTCTTACCTTTGTAATATCTCCCAGATATTTCCTCTTGAACTTGGCTATTTAAAAAGAAAAAATAAATACCTCCCAGATCTGTAATTATGCCCCTTTTCTATTTTGATATTGTCTATTCATGCCTTCTCTCATTGTTTCTTGATCAGTCTCACCAGACGTTTGTCTATTTCATTAATCTTTTCAAAGAGCTAGGTTTGGCTTCCTTGACATTATCTTTTCTTTTTTTGTATTTCATTATTTTCTGCTCTTTTTCTCCATTTTTCTTACTTTGAGTAAATTTGGCGGTCCTTTTTCTAATTCTCTATTCCATGCTGTCAGAAGCGAAAGTCTTCCTGTATATCATTTATCTATGCCAGAAAAATATAACTCATTTAAAAGAAAGAGGTTTGATTTTTAATTCACTATCTATTTCATTTACAAAATTTATATTTCTATTACAATTCACCAGTTGGAATTTTAAATCCCTGAAGCACCATTTTTCAGGCTATACACTTTGAAGCTTATGTGTCATTGTATTTATACATAATTCTGGGTCTTTCTTTTTTTTTAATTTTATTAATATTATACTTTAAGTTTTAGGGTACATGTGCACAATGTGCAGGTTTGTTACATATGTATACATGTGCCATATTGGTGTGCTGCGCCCATTAACTCATCATTTAGCATTAGGTATATCTCCTAATGCTATCCCTCCCCCCTCCCCCACCCCACAACAGTCCCCGATGTGTGATGTTCCCCTTCCTGTGTCCATGTGTTCTCATTGTTCAGTTCCCACCTATGAGTGAGAACATGCGGTGTTTGGTTTTTTGTCCTTGCGATAGTTTGCTGAGAATGATGGTTTCCAGCTTCATCCATGTCCCTACAAAGGACATGAACTCATCATTTTTTACGGCTGCATAGTATTCCATAGTATATGTGCCACATTTTCTTAATCCAGTCTATCACTGTTGGACATTTGGGTTGGTTCCAAGTCTTTGCTGTTGTGTGTAGTGCCGCAATAAACATACGTGTGCATGTGTCTTTATAACAGCATGATTCATAATCCTTTGAGTATATACCTAGTAATGCGATGGCTGGGTCAAATGGTATTTCTAGTTCTAGATCCCTGAGGAATCACCACACTGACTTCCACAGTGGTTGAACTAGTTTACAGTCCCACCAACAGTGTAAAAGTGTTCCTATTTCTCCACATCCTCTCCAGCACCTGTTGTTTCCTGACTTTTTAATGATTGCCATTCTAACTGGTGTGAGATGGTATCTCATTTTGGTTTTGATTTGCATTTCTCTGATGGCCAGTGATGATGAGCATTTTTTCATGTGTTTTTTGGCTGCATAATGTCTTCTTTTGAGAAGTGTCTGTTCATATCCTTCGCCCATTTTTTGATGGGGTTGTTTGTTTTTTTCTCATAAATTAGTTTGAGTTCATTGTAGATTCTGGATATTAGCCCTTTGTCAGATGAGTAGGTTGCAAAAATTTTCTCCCATTCTGTAGGTTGCCTGTTCACTCTGATGGTAGTTTCTTTTGCTGTGCAGAAGCTCTTTAGTTTAATTAGATCCCATTGGTCAATTTTGACTTTTGTTACCATTGCTTTTGGTGTTTTAGACATGAAGTCCTTGCCCATGCCTATGTCCTGAATGGTATTGCCTAGGTTTTCTTCTAGGATTTTTATGGTTTTAGGTCTAACATGTAAGTCTTTAAACCGTCTTGAATTAATTTTTGTATAAGGTGTAAGGAAGGGATCCAGTTTCAGCTTTCTACATATGGCTAGCCAGTTTTCCCAGCACTATTTATTAAATAGGGAATCCTTTCCCCATTTCTTGTTTTTCTCAGGTTTGTCAAAGATCAGATAGTTGTAGATATGTGGCATTATTTCTGAGGACTCTGTTCTGTTCCATTGGTCTATACCTCTGTTTTGGTACCAGTGCCATGCTGTTTTGGTTACTGTAGCCTTGTAGTATAGTTTGAAGTCAGGTAGTGTGATGCCTCCAGCTTTGTTCTTTTGGCTTAGGATTGACTTGGCGACGCAGGCTCTTTTTTGGTTCCATATGAACTTTAAAGTAGTTTTTTCCAGTTCTGTGAAGAAAGTCATTGGTAGCTTGATGGGGATGGCATTGAATCTATAAATTGGGCAGTATGGCCATTTTCATGATATTGATTCTTCCTACCCATGAGCACGGAATGTTCTTCCATTGGTTTGTATCCTCTTTTATTTCATTGGGCAGCAGTTTGTAGTTCTCCTTGAAGAGGTCCTTCACATCCCTTGTAAGTTGGATTCCTAGGTATTTTATTCTCTTTGAAGCAATTGTGAATGGGAGTTCACTCATGATTTGGCTCTCTGTTTGTCTGTTAGTGGTTTATAAGAATGCTTGTGATTTTTGTACATTGATTTTGTATCCTGAGACTTTGCTGAAGTTGCTTATCAGCTTAA
Organism: Homo sapiens; assembly: GCF_000001405.40. Classification (NCBI taxonomy): domain Eukaryota; kingdom Metazoa; phylum Chordata; class Mammalia; order Primates; family Hominidae; genus Homo; species Homo sapiens. Next base: position 160,185,655 of record NC_000006.12, on the reverse strand, counting down.
GGAGATTTTGGGCTGAGAAGATGGGGTTTTCTAGATATAAAATCATGTCATCTGCAAACAGGGACAATTTGACTTCCTCTTTTCCTAATTGAATGCCCTTTATTTCCTTCGCCTGCCTGATTGCCCTGGCCAGAACTTCCAACACTATGTTGAATAGGAGTGGTGAGAGAGGGCATCCCTGTCTTGTGCCAGTTTTCAAAGGGAATGCTTCCAGTTTTTGCCCATTCAGTATGATATTGGCTGTGGGTCTCTCATAGATAGCTCTTATTATTTTGAGATACATCCAATCAATACCTAATTTATTGAGAGTTTTTAGCATGAAGGGCTGTTGAATTTTGTCAAAGGCCTTTTCTGCATCTATTGAGATAATCATGTGGTTTTTGTCTTTGGTTCTGTTTATATGCTGGATTATGTTTATTGATTTTTGTATGTTGAACCAGCCTTGCATCCCAGGGACGAAGCCCACTTGATCATGGTGGATAAGCTTTTTGATGTGCTGCTGGATTCGGTTTGCCAGTATTTTATTGAGGATTTTTGCATCAATGTTCATCAGGGATATTGGTCTAAAATTCTCTTTTTTTGTTGTATCTCTGCCAGGCTTTGGTATCAGGATGACGCTGGCCTCATAAAATGAGTTAGGGAGGATTCCCTGTTTTTCTATTGATTGGAATAGTTTCAGAAGGAATGGTACCAGCTCCTCCTTCTACCTCTGGTAGAATTCAGCTGTGAATCCATCTGGTCCTGGACTTTTTTTGGTTGGTAAGCTATTAATTATTGCCTCAATTTCAGATCCTGTTATTGGTCTATTCAGAGATTCCACTTCTTCCTGGTTTAGTCTTGGGAGGGTGTATGTGTCAAGGAATTTATCCATTTCTTCTAGATTTTCTAGTTTATTTGCATAGAGGTGTTTATAGTATTCTCTGATGATAGTTTGTATTTCTGTGGGATCGGTGGTGGTATCCCCTTTGTCATTTTTTATTGTGTCTATTTGATTCTTCTCTCTTTTCTTCTTTATTAGTCTTGCTAGCGGTCTATCAATTGTGTTTATCTTTTCAAAAAACCAGCTCCTGGATTCATGAATTTTTTGAAGGGTTTTTTGTGTCTGTATTTCCTTCAGTTCTGCTCTGATCTTAGTTATTTCTTGCCTTCTGCTAGCTTTTGAATGTGTTTGCTCTTGGTTCTCTAGTTCTTTTAATTGTGATGTTAGAGTGTCAATTTTAGATCTTTCCTGCTTTCTCTTGTGGGCATTTAGTGCTATAAATTTCCCTCTACACACTGCTTCGAATGTGTCCCAGAGATTCTGGTATGTGTGTCTTTGTTCTCATTGGTTTCAAAGAACATTTTTATTTCTGTCTTTATTTCGTTATGTACCCAGTAGTCATTCAGGAGCAGGTTGTTCAGTTTCCATGTAGTTGAGCGGTTTTGAGTGAGTTTCTTAATCCTGAGTTCTAGTTTGATTGCACTGTGGTCTGAGAGACAGTTTGTTATAATTTCTGTTCTTTTACATTTGCGGAGGAGTGCTTTGCTTCCAACTATGTGGTCAATTTTAGAATAGGTGTGGTGTGGTGCTGAAAAGAATGTATATTCTGTTGATTTGGGGTGGAGAGTTCTGTAGATGTCTGTTAGGTCTGCTTGATGCAGAGCTGAGTTCAATTCCTGGATATCCTTGTTAACTTTCTGTCTTGTTAATCTGTCTAATGTTGACAGTGGGGTGTTAAAGTCTCCCATTATTATTGTGTGGAAGTCTAAGTCTCTTTGTAGGTCTCTAAGGATTTGCTTTATGAATCTGGGTGCTCCTGTATTGGGTGCATATATATTTAGGATAGTTAGCTCTTCTTGTTAAATTGGTCCCTTTACCATTATGTAATGGCCTTCTTTGTCTCTTTTGATCTTTGTTAGATTAAAGTCTGTTTTATCTGAGACTAGGACTGCAACCCCTGCCTTTTTTTGTTTTCCATTTGCTTGATAGAGCTTCCTCCATCCCTTTATTTTGAGCCTATGTGTGTCTCTACACGTGAGATCAGTTTCCTGAATACAGCACACTGATGGGTCTTGACTCTTTATCCAATTTTCCAGTCTGTGTCTTTTAATTGGAGCATTTAGCCCATTTACATTTAAGGTTAATATTGTTATGTGTGCATTTGATCCCGTCATGATGATGTTAGCTGGTTATTTTGCTCGTTAGTTGATGCAGTTTCTTCCTAGGATTGATGGTCTTTACAATTTGGCATGTTTTTGCAGTAACTGGTACCAGTTGTTCCTTTCCATGTTTAGTGCTTCCTTCAGGAACTCTTTTAGGGCAGGCCTGGTGGTGACCAAATCTCTCAGCATTTGCTTGTCTGTAAAGGGAAGCCCATCAGACTAACAGCTGATCTCTTGGCAGAAACTCTACAGGCCAGAAGAGACTGGGGGCCAATATTCAACATTCTTAAAGAATAGACTTTTCAACCCAGAATTTCATATCCAGCCAAATTAAGTTTCATAAGTGAAGGAGAAATTCTGGGTCTTTCTTGGCCATATTTGATCTAGTAATTGTAGCAAGTATATACCATTCCATTTCATTGAGGGAAAATGTATTTCCCTAATCAGAATAAAGTAAAATTTAATTACTAATCAGGCAAGTTAGTAACCAAGGAAATATCCTGCAAATTCCTATTCTAAGAGAGCAAAGGAGCTATAGTAACTTAATAAATGTTTATCTAAAAAAAGAAACACATCAGTATGTACTTGAGGTTTCTTTGGTTATTGAAGATTCAACCTCTTTTGATGTGTTAGAAAACAATGTTAATTCAGTTGACTCAATAAGTAATCTTAAAAATTGGAAAGCAAGCAGATGAAATGGACTTTATGTTTTTATTCATTCAAAGCAGATGATAACACTAAAAATCTGGTAGTAATTTTTTGAAAATGTGATTTCAAATAACCTATTTACTTCCTTTGATATATGTTTAAAATAGAAAAGTTCCAGTATTTAGAATGGAAAGCAACTCTCATTGCATATGTTGCAACCTAACTATATCAGTAAGATTAAACAACATACCAAGCTTTCTGCTAACCTCAGAAACTACAAAAAAGCAAGCATTTGGCCAGGCGCGGTGGCTCACCCCTATAATCACAGCACTTTGGGAGGTTGAGGCAGGTGGACCACAAGGTCAGGAGATCGAGACCATCCTGGCTAACACGGTGAAACCCGGTCTCTGGTAAAAATACAAAAAATTAGCCGGGCGTGGTGGCGGGCGCCTGTAGTCCCAGCTACTCAGGAGGCTGAGGTAGGAGAATGGCATGAACCTGGGAGGCAGAGGTTGCAGTGAGCCAAGATCGTGCCACTGCACTCCAGCCTGGGAGACAGAGCAAGACTCCATCTCAAGAAAAAAAAAAAAAAAGCAAGTATTCACCAACAAAGTTTTGAATGGCCAGCTTCGATTGACTGAAGTAATAAATATTCTGGCAGCTGATTCTGACAGAATAGTAATTAACTTGATTCTGGGATTAAAACTACAATAATGTAAACTCCCTGAAATGCTAAACGTATTGCAGGCCCAGTCTAGAGTATTGGAGGAAGCTGTCATTAAAATGGGATCATATGAAACAGCTTTAAGAGTAGAGTGAAAAAAAAAAAAAGAGGGAGAAACACAAATACTCCTTGGCCTATAAACTTTGGGTGAACCCCAGACTTTCTGGGAACCCTTTGGGGATCAGTCTAAATCAAGATGACCAGCTGGGCGCGGTGGCTCACGCCTGTAATCCCAGCACTTTGGGAGCTGGGGTGGGTGGATCACGAGGTCAGGAGATCGAGACCATTCTGGCTAACACGATGAAACCCCATCTCTACTAAAAATACAAAAAAAATTAGCTGGGTGTGGTGGCAGGTGCCTGTAGTCCCAGCTACTCGGGAGGCTGAGGCAGGAGAATGGCCTGAACCCAGGAGGCAGAGCTTACAGTGAGCCGAGATCAAGCCACTGCACTCCAGCCTGGGCCACAGAGTGAGACTCTGTCTCAAAAAATAAATAAATAAAATAAAATAAAATAAAGATGACCTACCTTTGGTTACTACATGATCCAAAGTTCAAGCCTTTTCTGTCCTTGAAAAGTAAAGGATATTGTATAAAAACATCAGGAAGGACATTAATGGCCATCTTCTATTTAGTTAAGTCTTTAGAAGCCTAGAAGAAACACAGCAGAGTCAGTCCCCAAAGACATGAGAACCTACTAGAAATGCATGTTTGGGATTCTGGCAGCTACCAAGAATGGCTAAATGAGATTTGCCATTAATATTTTTAAGAGTTTCTGGTTTTAAAACTGTATTCTTGATGTTATCTATAGATCTTACAGAAAAACCTCTGCCAATCTCAATGCATAAGAGAAAAGCAGTATTAAAATCTACAGGGAGACAAGCAAAAGTAGACATTTTATTGACATTCACAGTAGTGTTTATTTGACCAATACTCATTAAGTGTCTAGCAAGTACTATACTGAACATGGAGACACAGCATAGAACAAGGCAGATTCTTTTCCTGGATCATAGAATTCATGTTGTAGCAGAAGAGAAAACATTAAGCAAGAAGTTACAGTTCTGGTTATCATGGTGAATTGAACATACTCACCTAGAGCAACAACTGACACAAAGAATGCACTTAAGAAACGGCAGCCCAGAGGAGAAGTGAATGTTACAGGGAGACCTGGCCTAGGCTGGGAGCCAAGGAGGACTTCCTGAAGAAAGCAATGTTTTCAGTGAGATCTGCAGGGTAAATGGGAATTAACCAGCTGGAAGTCAAATATGTGAGAGATAACCTAACTTTATCTGTTACTTGAGACTATCTTGCCATGCACAGAAATAACTCACCACAGCACTGTGGGGCATTTAGCTTGATATATTTTTTATTGTGATAAAAGACACCCAAGATATTTAGCATCTTAATCACATTTAAGTGTACAGTTCAGTAGTATTAAATATATTCATATTGTTGTGCAATGATCACCACCATTCTCTCCAGGACTCTTTATCTTGCAAAATGGAAACTCTATACCCATGAAGCAATAGCTCTCCATTCTCCCCTTCCCCAACCCCTGGCAACCACCATTCTACCCTGTCTCTATGAATTTGACTACTCTGGGTACCTCATATAAGTGGAATCACACCGTATTTGTCTTTTGGTGACTGGCTTATTTCATTTGGCATGATTCACACATTTCACTTAGTAAGGTTCATCCACGTTGTGGTATGTGTCAGAATTTTCTTCCTTTTTAATGCTGAATAACACTCCATTGTATGTATACATCACATTTTGTTCATGCATTCATCTGTCAATGGTCAGTTGGGTTGCTTGCATCTCTTGGCTGTTGTGAATAATGCTCCTATGAACATATGTGTACCAATATCTCTTTGAGACCTTGCTTTCAATTCTTTAGGGTACGTGCTTAGAAGTGGAATTACTGGATCATATGGTCATTCTATTTTTAATTTTTTGAGGAACCACCATACTGTTTTCCACAGTAGCTGCAACATTTTACATTCCCACCACCAACAATACAAAAAGGTTCCAATTAACTTGACAGATTTTTGTGTGTGTGACTGTGGTAGTGTTTTTCATGTAATAGTCATAGACCTTGAATAGAATCATTATGTATCATCAAGAGACACACTCCAGAAAAGGCAAAAGCTTTTACAAAAATGTTTTTAAATAAATCACGGTTTTTCTCCAGTTTCCAATTTGTACTATTAAGAGCCACAAACAGGCCTGTTCTAATTTTGTTTCACAGTATTTATTGTGTAAATATGTGTTTTACAATGGCCCATATACAAAAACCATTTAGACTCTGAGCATCAACCTTTTGACCTAACTATGATGTTGGCTGACTCTTGTCTTGAAGGCTGCTGCCATTCAAGAAGTATTTTCCAAGTCCCCATGTTCCCTGGCTGGGGTTCTCACATCAGGACTTAACTGGGCATGTCAGGGTCTCAACACTCCATCCACTGTCCCAGGCTTTCTGTGTAGGGCCCTTAATAACATGGGTCGGTACAAAATGCACAAAAATGTGTTCTCACAGCCAAGAGGGTAGGTAGCTTTTTTCTTTTAGCCATGGCTTGTTAGGAGGTGCTATGGTCTGAATGTTTGTATCCTTCCAAAATTCATGGGTTAAAACCTAACCCCTAAGTGATGGTATTAGAAAGTAGGGCCTTTGAGGATAATTTGGTCATGAGGGCAAACCCTTCATGATTGGATTAGTGCCCTTATAAAAGAGGCCTGGGGAAGCCTGTCGGTTCCTCTTTGCTCTTCCACCATGTGAGGACACAGCAAGAAGGTGCCATCTGTGAAGAAGAGAGCCCTCACCAAGAAACAAATCTGCTGGCACCTTGATCTTGGACTTCCCAACCTCCAGAACTCTGAGCAATAAATTTCTGTTTATAATAATTTATAAATTGCCCAGTCCAAGGTATTTTGTTATACCAGCCCAAACAGACCAAGTCAGGAGGCCAGGGAAATGTCTGTGCCTGGATATTCAAGGGAGACCAGCTACGGTGCTTTCAGGGGACTCCTCCAAAGCCATGACTGGCTGTCTCCAGTTTTCCTAATTGGGAAATGAGCCGCCCAAGGTCAGACACTGACACAGCGTTATCTTAGCTCACATTTTAAAATAAAGATTTCCTCTGTTCTAGGTACAAGAGAATAACTGTTCCACGTGAAGTATACTTAGAATAGTAATTAACTTGATGAGAGGACCAAGGGAAACTCCAAAAAAAAAAAAAAAAGGAGACCACCCCCCGCAACCCTGCTTTTAAATTTCGCTCTAAGGAGCTCTGCTAACTAAGACTAGTGGAGTGATTGTCTCTAAAGTATTCCATAAGAGGCAAGAGTTGGTAACAGCAGTACAAAATACAGTGTCCCTAGTTAAATAGAGTACCATACATTCATTAAACAGGATTCTTAAACGGAACAAAGTCGGTCATTGTGCTATGGTGAGGAGGAGAGTAGAAGGTGAAGGGAAAAGACAGGGAGAGAGGGGGATGGAGGGAAACACTGAACTGTCTTTAGGGCAGTTACTTTACATTTTTACTTGCAATCATTTTCTGAGGCAGTAGAAAGAAGTGGTTAAGAGTATGGGTATTGCGAAAATCAGGGAGTTTTTTTTACTCTTTACTATGTGCTGGAACATTTTAAGACTTTTGCTATAAACATCAGCTTGTCCTTCAAAATGTGTTACAAATTAATTTCACCAACACAATGCCAGAGTGTGGCTTTTTCATGTCTTCTTTGCCACACACACACAGCGCTCTCTCTCGCTCTCTCGCGCTCTCTCTCTCTCCTTCCCTCCCTCCCTCTCCCTCTCCCTTCTCATCTCTCTCTCTCTCTCTCTCTCTCTTTCTCTCTCTCTGTCTCACACATGCACATACACAACACACTCACACACACACAAAATAATATCTCCTGGCCATTTTATCTGAATTTCTTTGAGGAGTGAGGTTGAACATGTTTTCATGGTTATTGCTAATTTTCTTTATATTATGAAGTGACTATTTTTGTTCTTTGCCCATTTTCCTTCTGGGATATTCTATTTTCCGTCAGAGCCTTTTTCAAATTGTTTCTTGGAGTTGGTCATTCGCCCTTTAGTTTTTTATTTGGTATTTTTCATAGAGAGAAAATTTTTTAAATTTTTAAGTGGACAAATCTATACTTGTTTTCCTTTGTGGTTTCTTAATTGGTATTATGTTTAGAAAGTCTTGCTTGAATAAAAATTACATAAATGTTGGCCCCTATCATATTCTAGTATTTCAAATGGTTTTATATTTCACATTTAAATAATTCTACCAGAATATTGTCATGTAAGTTGGAGAGTATTGATGGAATACTCCAATGTTTAGGTGGTGCTCCAGGCTCTCCCAAGCTCGAGGAATAACTTTGGTGTGATCAAACTACATGGTCAGGCCTGGTGTGGTGGCAGGCACCTGTAATTCCAGCTACTCAGGAGGCCGAGACAGGAGAATCACTTGAACCCAGGAGGTGGAGGTTGCAGTAAGCCACTGCACTCCAGCCTGGGTAACAGAGTGAGACTGTCTCAAAAATAAATAAATAAATGAATAAATGAATCAATAAATAAATAAATACATGGTCTTGGGACTTGATCAGATGTCCCTGGAGATCACCAAAATAATGCATCCTCCTGTCAGCTCCACGCCCTCTCTCTTCCCACACTCCTGGCATTCCTGGGATTCCTTCCCTGATCAAATTCCCCTCTGCTTTTGTGGAATTCAGGCTAAGCCTCAAGCACAGGAGCAAAACAAATGGGAGTTAATTTCAAACTTCACCCCTCTGCAGATGCACATGGCATCTACTGTGTCTGCTTTCTTTGTGCTTTATCTTTTTACTCGTCATATTCATTTCTGTCTCTTTTCTCTGCATTCTAGCAGAATTTCTCAAGCTTATCTTCTAATTCCCAAATTTGATTTCCATAATATTCAATCTACTCGTCGTTGCTTCTGTTGCTTTTCCAGATGGTTTTTTTTTCTAAAAGCAATATATGTACTAACAAATGCTTCCCTTTCTGTGACTTCATTGTCTTCTAGAATCTTGGAAAGAGCATGCATAGAGATTTTCAAAAATGTTCCCCTTTTTCATAGGGGGAATTCATATAACTCTATGATATCTCAGGTTTGTCATTTTGTATTGAACTCCTAAAATGGTTTTAATGGTTGGTTATCTTTTCTCTGATTCTTCATTTTTTTTGTAGACAAAATCTACACTTTTTCAGAATTAGTAGATGAGATGGTTTTCTCAATGACACATAAATATGATTTTGTAGAAGACCCATGGACAAGGTCACTGCCACAGTCACACACACACACAATGTGTGAGTCACACTTCAGATCTTTGGGGTACAGACCTCTGGATAATAGAAAAGTTTAGATTTGCTCTAGTTTCCCTTTGCCCCATGTTTTGGCACTTGCTGCAAATTGCATTTGCTACTTGTCTCTGGACCAGACTGCTCTGATTCTCTTGCTCACAATGAAATGGAAATTTCCTGGCATTGATAGTCTGATACTGGTTAGCAGATTCCACCCACTCTTTTTTCCTGATAAAATGCAACGCCCAGACAATATCTCTGTACCACTTGTATTTCTTTCAGCTTTTGCTTGGGAAATTTCAAGCCTTTGAGCAGGGCTAGGGCCCTCAGCTGCTGTTCCTATTAGAAGCAGAAAAATAAAATAGTGTGCCCATGGCCTAGGGTTAAAATGTATGAATGTGGGGGCCATTCCATTCCAGCAACTGAAGGTTAAGGAAACAGAAATTGTAACTTGATAAAGAAATGTATTCACAGCCTTGCTAGGGTTTAATGTCAGCAGAGTTTACTGAACAAGAACAGGCCTTAAACTAAGACATAAACTTCTCCCTAAGTAGGTTTGGGAGGGGTATTATAACCAGGATCCAGAAAGGTCCCTAAGAAAAGAACTTCAAATCAATGAAATTACATAATATTAATCCTTCTTCAATAGAAAAAGGGGATCATACACTCATTCAGGAGCCATGGTAAACATGTATTAATACTCTCTATTCAAGAAAAAAGAAAAAATAGTTCCACAAATACTTAAACTAAATTAGCCCCGGGCATCTATTCAAGTCTTTCTGCATCCTATCATCCTGACTGACTTTATCTCCTTCTGAAAGTATTTTGATCATCTCTTAATGTCTTTAGTCTGTCTCCCCCAACTAGAATATAAATTCAATGAAGGCAAGAGATCGTGCCTTTGTTGTTCTCTAACTGAAAGCCCAACACCTAGAACTGTGCCTGGCACATAATAGATGGTCAATTAACAACTACTAACTGAGTTCATGGTGGATGGTTGGATGATGGATGCATCAATTAATGAAAACAGGTAAGAAATTTCTTGAGCCATAGTTTTCCGTTATGTGGACTCTACCCAAGACAAAATAAAAGTTGGTGGGGGGAGATAATGGTTGGCTGTGTAGCCCCAGAATGATGGTTAATTTTGTAATGATCCAAGAATACCCAGGTAAGAGCATTTTTTACCATTGCTATCAGAAGATCATCATTCATTAGTCTTAAACAGGTCATTAATTCACCAACTACATTTGCCTTGTTGAATTTTAAAAATTACCCAGCGCACGGTTTTCTTTTAACTGATCATTAATTCAAGTCTCTGCATCCTTTACACAGTGGCTCTCACTGGCAGAAGACATGCTCCTTTAACCAAATTAACCAGAGTTTCTGCACCAAATGTCGGAATGACCTATCCTTTTCCTTGGATAGTAGTAGTCAGATGTTGCACAACTGTTCTTTAGAACAAACCCAGCACAGGAACAAGGCTTCAAGGGCCACTCATGCATATTGGCATTTGGGGTAGAGGTATCAGCCCCAGGCTCATTCGTCTTAAACATGTTTTTTCTCATACAAAGAGAGCAGCCTTTGGTTTGGACCCTGCAAAATCAGAGACCATGTGGTAGGGATGCAGTGGGCTGTGTCTTGAGCTTTGAACACCACCAGTCATGTCAAGAGCAGCTGATCCCTGGGACCACCCTGGAAAAGGAAGTCTCTAGAACCTCCCCATTTTAAATGACTGTGGATCACAAGTTATATTTCCCAAATCTCCAGACAATTTTCTTCATGCCCTTGGTTTAGGTCATAGATACCTCTTCCTTTTGTGGCAGGCTAGGTCTCACTAACAGCTGAACGGGCAGACCTCCATGACAATTGTTTGAGCACTGACTGAGTGGTTAAGTTAAATATTAAAAGCTGATAGAGCCTCTGTCCCTATACAAAGGCTGATATGTAACAAAAGCCCACCTTTTGTTTTGCCTAGGCTTTTCCTGGGCCTTGAAGCATGACAAGATAACAAAGGAATTTTTTTTTTTTAAGGAATTCTTAACAGGACCCGTTTAGGATTAAACAAGTTTAACTGGGGTCTGATGGAATTCCCCAGACATCCACAAACAAGTTTTACTGGGGTCTAAAGGAATTCCCCAAACCTCCATGATTTAGCAGGAGACAAGATAAGGGTAATCACCCTAGCACTTGGATCCATCTAGACTAAGTAAATTTACTGAGGCTCCGGAGGAAGGTCTTCAGGACTCAGACTTTAGAGATTAGAAAATGTTAATCACTTACGTCTTTAGAAGAATGTACACTTTTACATAGACATATAGCTCAGAAGGTCTATAAGCTCTGGAAAACATTATAATTTTGAGTCGGTCTGGTGATATTTTCCCACCCTTCTCCCTGTACCCGGTTACTGAAGTAAATTCTCTTCTTTCCCAGTTCATCTGCATCTCATTACTGAGCTGCGAGAATAAGCAACCCCACCCTCAGTTTGGTCCAGGAACACTGTTGCCTCCTCCACACCTCTTCCCCGCTCAGCCACCCACCCCACACCTCTTCCCCGTTCAGCCTCCCGTGGCCAGAGGGTTTTTATCATTTCAGTAGACTTTTTGGCTAACTCTAATCAGTAAATCAGCATCAAAGAATTCCCTCAAATTTTGTTTTAAAAAACCCCAAATACTTATTGTTTTAAGTGCATACATCTGATTACTGTTTTCCAATTTGACAACGATGGTGACCATTTTGACCTCCTCAGTGGTCAGCCCCCAGGTCCCTTTCTGGTGGCTTTATCAGGTTTGTGCAGGTTGTGTCATCACCCGACCTCACCCTCCCTGAGCAGGGAGGTTGAGAGGGAGCCTGGGGCTGTGGGAATTTCTGAATCTTACAGTTCTAGCCTGGAATTTAAAGTACCATTTGAAGAGTTGACTGTAATTACCGTTAGGAGTATGACAGCTAAGGTAGGAGGAACTGTCTTGTAATTCAGATTTTTAAGTATAAACTAAAGAGTTTTGTTTTTTGTTTTGTTTTGTTTTGTTTTTAGATGGAGTCTTACTCTCTCACCCAGGCTGGAGTGCAATGGCCTGATCTTGGCTCACTGTAACCTTCGCCTCCCAGGTTCAAGCAATTCTCCTGCCTCAGCCTCCCAAGTAGTTGGGATTACAGGCACCCACCACCACACCCAGCTAATTTTTGTATTTTTAGTAGAGACAGGGTTTCACCATGTTGGTCAGGCTGCTCTCGAACTCCTGACCTCAGGTGATCCACCCGCCTCAGCCTCCCAAATGGCTGGGATTACAAGTGTAAGCCACTGTGCCCAGCCTAAACTAAAACGTTTTAAGATACCATTTTAATTTTTTTTATCTTTGAAAGTGATGAACAGTTCTGTGGCTGTTTCTGCCCAAGGCATAACTCCATGGCTTGTTGGCCAGTAGCTGAATCTGAGCCTTGAGAGCCACAGCGAGGGGAATGCCTCGGGGCCTCTAGCCTCCAGCTGCCAGCCTCCGACCCTGCAGGTCATTTATTCCCATTGGGGCAAAGCAGGTCTACATTCTCAATTCCAAATGTATCATCTTCAATTTGGATTGAGCCTCTGAAAGATTTGGCCTTGGTTTCTAAGTCACTACAATACTGGATGGCCAAAATATTGTAATTTAAAATGATCAAACCATAGACATCATATATTTTAAGCATGCTTTAATTATTTCCTCGCTACATCTGCTTATTTATGATTATTAACTTGGGTGTTTCACCTTGAGTGGAGGGCTCACATCAGTTTTGTTGAACTAATTGAACAGCTTGTAAACTTTATTGGAAACTCATGTGCTTTTTCCTTGGCGTGCTTGCTGTTTGTTCCATCTGAGTATTATCATGGACTTGTTTATAGGCTCAACTTGTTCTGCTTGACTTTAACCACTGTCATCAGGATGTTGAAATTGTCTCCGCTTGGCATTGGGCACCATCCATATTTAGGCATCTTTGTCTGTTGCCACTACCCTAGACATCTCCAAGAGTCCTTGCTCTTTGGCAAAAACATTTCCCTGACCTTCTTGAACTTTGCATTTTTCTTGTCTTTAGGACCAGCCACAGCGGCCCCGTATCAGAGGCAGCCCGAGCCACTGAGGGGACCAGGGAAGGCTTCAAAGTCATAGCACGTGTAGAGTTCCCCATTTGACTGATTTTACTAAGTCCTTTCGTATCATGTTCTCATGTAAAAATAAATTTCCCTAGTGAACTATCAACTTTTCTTCTCTACTATTTAATTCTCTTACATAAAAGATCCTTTTGGTTAACTTTGTTGTATCATGCTTTATTTCCTCCCACCAAACCACATCTCTACATTATAATATTATCCAAAGCTTTATAAATCTTCATTTTTCCTTCTTAATAAAAAAGAGGAGAGTAGGCAAGGCATAGTGGCTCATCTCTGTAATCCCAGCACTTTGGGAAGCCAAGGTGGGAGGATTGCTTGAGGCCAGGAGTTTGAGACCAGCCTGCACAACATAGGGAGACTCTGTCTCTATAACAACGACAACAACAACAAAAAAATGTTTTATAAAACTACTCAGGCATGGTGGTGCATGCCTGTAGTCCTAGCTCCTAGGATGCTGAGATGAGGGGATCGTTTGAGCCCAGGTATTTGAGGCTGTGGTGAGCTATGACTGCACCACTGTACTCCAGCCTGGGTGAAAGACATAGTGAGACTTTGTCTCTAAAAATAAAAATTTTAAAAAAAGGATGTCATCCAGCAATTTGAAAATATTTAAGCAAGACTGTGGCCGTGAGCAACTTAACTATTCAAGGGTGCAGGGATGCCACTGTGGCCAGCTACTGACATGTATGGGAATGGGACAGCAATTTTAAAGACAAAAAGAAGTTTCTATCAGAATATTGCTTCAACTGTGTATATGTTTAGAACACACATAAGAAAATGAGATGGTAAATAAATAGAAGCTAGTATAATTCTTCTGGTAGTTTTTCCTCCTTGGATGTAAGGTGGAAAATCCCTCCCCATTTTATAAATATGAGAACTAGAACATAGGCACCCTGCTCCTCATCCCCTCCAGAACAAAGACAGGACCCAAGACCATCTTGCAAATTACATATGGCAGAATGAAGCCACCAGCTGCCTAGTATGTTGTAGTCACTAAATTGCTGAATAGGTTGGGATTTCCTTCCAAGTGCCCATCATATTTTCTGCTAGATTTTAAGTCAGAATGAGCGAGAGAGCACAGGGTTTTGCCCAAATAGCAGCGAAATGATGATCATTGGCTGACTTATATCCCACACTACCATTTGTTTTCAGCAGTTTCCCAAGTCTTTATTATGAAGTCTCTATTCTGTCCTCCATCTTGGGTTTTGTTCTGAACGCCATCTTTTCTCATTCCAGACTGCTCATCCATTCTCCTGTCTTCAGTATCCATCAAATGCTGATGTTTCTCCCTCTCCAGACATGAGCTCAAGCCCCAAAGCCATCTCCCACCACCCATTGGACATCTTTGCTCAAACTCAACAAGTCCTGGACAAGATTCATCATTTCTTCCTTCCCAGCTTTTGCCAACTGGAACTGCTGAACTCTGCTCTTTTATTCTTATCCACAAGGCCTGATCCTTTCTAAAGATTTAATATCATTTTCTTATTTTGTTTTGGTCTGTTTTCCCCCACTAGAAAGTAACTTCTCTGAGGGCGGAGGTTTTTTGGTTTTTCTTTTGTTTTTAATTTACTGTTGAATCCTCATTAACTAAGACAGTGCCTGACACATAACAGGTACTCAATGAGTGTTTTCTAAATAAAGGCCTAAATGAATACATGGGTGGGAGGAGTTTAGTACTTGGGTTTGAGGAGAGAGGTAAAGTTTGACAGCTCCATTAGTGAGGTTTAGATGAACCCCAGGGACCCTGGGGGGCCACAGCCACAAGCAAAAGGCAGCCTCCTCTCTATGTCCTGAACTGGAAGTGGGGGTCTCTCTGGGCACCCATAAACCGGACAGTCATCTCAATTGCTGCAGTGCACGTCCAACAAATAGATGGTTAAACAAACCAGTGTCTATGATTACTAAATCGGGGTGAAATTGCAAATATTTTCAAGACATTTATCTAAAAGTACAAATTAAGAGTGATGAAAATGAGGCCACAAAAGCCTTGCCTCCCACGGGTAAACGATCCAATGTTTAAAGAGCTCTTTGTCAAGAAGAGCAATTGTGAATGTTATTAATAATGCTCATGTCTGGGACTATGAGCTGATAAAACCTGAACATTCCTGGAACAGTTAGAGAGAGGTCTGGACCTCTGAGCTGGACAATAAGTGGCAGGGGTTGGTTTTATGAGCAGCCAGTGTTTAGGGCTAGAAAGAAAATGCGTGCTGTGCTTGGAAAAGAAAGAGAGCAGTTGGGAAATGAAGGGTGTGCTGATATATTACAGGCCACCCGAGACTGGGTGGAAATTCTAGTCACAGTCAGAGGTTCCCTTGAGGGATAGATGAAAACTGAAAGTGTCTCTCCTAAACTAGGGTAACTGAATGCCCAAGCATGATGCTCTGAATAGTTCAGCCTTTTTGTCCAGGGCTAGCCTGAAACAATGTTAGAATCTGCTGTGAAGAGGATGGAACATGGGGTCATGGATTACTCACGTCTCCTCTCAGCTGCTCTTTAGCTCGTAGGATCCCCATTTTACCCTCCTGGGACTAGCAAAGAATCCATCTAGTGTCACCAGCCAGGGTCTGTGTGAGAGCCACAGGAAACAGGCAGTACATTTTTGGGAGTCCATTTGGCTGTTGTGATCTCTTTGGGCACCAAGGCCATCTATCCCCCTGAGATCTATTTTGTCAGCCACCCCCGCCCCAAGGGGACTGCAGCACTGGAGACAGTACAGGTCCCCTCCCCTGTACACTTCTCAAGGGCTGGAAGGTAAAAACGTTGTCTCTTGCATTTGAGGACTAAGGATAGTGCCTATTAGAGATGAAAGTTATTTAATTGAGTCAGGGCAAAATGCTTAAGTGATATGTTTAGGAAACACACCTATTGAGAGATTTCAAATACAGCCCTGCAAGTTTGAGATCATTTTGTAGGCCCTGTTGTAAGCAATATAAAATGCAATATATATAAATAAATGTATGTATGTATAAATAATACATTTATACACAATAAATGTATGTATGTATAAATAATACATTTATACACAATAAATGTATGTATGTATAAATAATACATTTATACACAATAAATGTATGTATGTATAAATAATACATTTATACACAATAAATGTATGTATGTATAAATAATACATTTATACACAATAAATGTATGTATGTATAAATAATACATTTATACACAATAAATGTATGTATAAATAATATACATTTATACACAATAAATGTATGTATAAATAATATACATTTATACACAATAAATGTATGTATAAATAATATACATTTATACACAATAAATGTATGTATAAATAATATACATTTATACACAATAAATGTATGTATAAATACATTTATACACAATAAATGTATGTATAAATACATTTATACACAATAAATGTATGTATAAATACATTTATACACAATAAATGTATGTATAAATACATTTATACACAATAAATGTATGTATAAATACATTTATACACAATAAATGTATGTATAAATACATTTATACACAATAAATGTATGTATAAATACATTTATACACAATAAATGTATGTATAAATACATTTATACACAATAAATGTATGTATAAATACATTTATACACAATAAATGTATGTATAAATACATTTATACACAATAAATGTTTTACATAAATACATAAATGTATGTGTTTTATGTAATAAATACATATGTATTTATGTATTTTACACATTAAATATATTTATGTATTTTATGTAATAAATGTATTTATGTATTTTATGTAATAAATACATTTATAAAATACACTTATAAATACATTAAAATATATTTATAAAAATAAAATGTAATACATATTTTGTTCTATATATACAGAAATAGAACAAAATGAATATGTAAGATGAGGCAAACAGGATTTGGTTCAGCAAGAAAAATATGTTTTGCACACAGAGTCTACAGCTTTGACATTTACAAAAACAAAAAAAAGGAAGGCACAAGAGGATGTGCAAGAGGATGATCAAGCACAGGGGAGTCCAGGAACGCACAGAACAGCGCCTTACCTGCTCTCTGTGGTGGGCCAAGCGCCATAAGCACCCAAGACACACAGAAATCCAAGCTGATCCACCCATCCTACTGGGCTGCAGGCAGGAGGGTCTGGGCTAGGTGGTGCAGAGGGCCTGGTGCAGAGGCCCTGGGTGACTAGCCAGGGGACTGCCCGCTGCCCTAACTGCTCCCACTGGCTGCCCCCAAGGAGAGTTGGACCACTAAGGGGGGGTGTGACAAACAGGATGAGGTGGGAGAACCAACTAACAACCCCATCATTGACATTCACATGAAGGGGAGCACACTCTAGGAACAGAAAGCAGAAATGGTTCAATCAATGATGGCACTCAATACATTGCTATGCAGCTGCTCAAACCAGTCAGACCCCTGTGTGCTGAAATGGAAAGAAGTTAATTTGAAAAAGCAAGCTGCAGACCAGCAGATGGCACAACCCCATAAATTCTAAGGCTATAAAAGTTAATTGTGCAAGGAATATGACCTTGTAATTGTGTGACTTTGTTCTTACCTCAGGCCTGTACTCCAGCAGGCAGTGGAAAACGTAATCTTCGCAATTCAAAGTAAGCTCAGTGACTTCAGGGTTTTTCTCCCCTTCATAAATTCATGTAAATTTCATGAATTGCAGGTTGTTCCCCTCCCCTGGTGTCCCCAGAGCAGGGCACATAGGGCCCGGGAGGCTTGCTTCATGCCATGGCTCTGCAGGCAGTGTCCCTCCTTGGGCAGCCTGTGCCCACGCCAGCCTTTCCAGGGTGTCTTTCTCCCCACATGGTCCCAGCTATGCAGTCCGTGCCCCAGCTGTGGGTGGAACCTTCATCCCAGCTGTATTCATTCATTCTCACACTGCTAATAAAGACACACCCGAGACTGAGTAATTACAAAGGAAAGAGGTTGAATGGGCTCACAGTTCCGCATGGCTGCAGAATCCTCATGATCAGGGCAAAAGAGCAAGGAGGAGCAAGGCTCATCTTACATGGTGGCAGGGAAGAGAAAACTTGTGCAGGGGAATTCCTCTTTATAAAACCATCAGATCTCATGAGACTTATTCACTATCAAGAGAACAGCACAGGAAAGACCCACCCCCATGATTCAGTTACCTCCAACTGGGTTCCTCCCATGACACATGGAAATTATGGGAGCTACAATTCAAGACGAGATTTGGGTGGGGACACAGCCAAACCATATCACCAGCCATGACAAGCCCTAAGTCACATCATGCTGCTCCCCCTACCCCCATGGCACAAGGAATCTCTGAGCTGCCTCAGGTCCACCTGCTCAGGGTCCCCAGGTGGGCAGCGTCATGGCCACCTACAGCAACCAAGCAGGTCCCTACTTCAGACCCTCAAGGTCATCCACCCCTCCAACCAGAGCAGATGCACTTGGCCACCTCCCATCTCCTCTCACCTACTTCCACAGTAAAGCAACCCAACTCTAGGAAGGGCCTGAAGCCACCCACTTCTCCAGATATTCTGGCCATGAGGTCCAGCTGACGGGCTGCAGGCAGTGTCCAGAAGTCCCCTTAAAGGGAGGATCTATGTTCCTCATGGTACCCCATCTCCTGCATGTGACGGGGAGCCCAGCAGCCAGTGTGGACCTCAGGGAGGAAGCTCTGTCCACAGAATGAGATGGCAGGCACCTGGGCCTGTCTCTGCCACATCCCACACAAGCACTGCACTCTGTCCTTCAAGCTTCTTGAACATGAGAAAGAATTTCTTTCTTTAGTCAGGAATTTTTTTCCTTAGTCAGATAAAATTTCTTTTATCTTGTTTAAGCCCCTGATATTTTGGAGATTTTGGCCACTCACAGGCAAATTCCACTCAGACTAATGCACCCTTCAGGAGCCAGCTTTCCCGGCCCCCAACAACTCTTATCTCCTCCATTGACAGGGAGACTCGTGCTGGTGTCCTGAGACTCTGTCATAGCTGGCCTGCCGCCCAATGCCAGCAGTCTGCAGCCTTTGTCTTCTGGTTCCCCTTAGGCCACTCAGCTGGCAATGGTCACCAGAATAGGGGTTGAAAGGAAGAGTGTGGGGGAAACACGCATTCTTGTTGCTTCAGAAGGTCATCCTGCCTGATATTTTTGTATACGGCTTGTAAGAAAGGTAAGAAGCCAGGTGTGCTCATTTCTACTTGCCAACATCGTTTCACAAAGCCCTTGACTGGGAGGCCGTGCAGCTCCCTGGAAAAGTGCTTTGAAGATAAAGCAGGAGAGAGCACATGGAGCCCGAGAGGCCCCCATGCCTCTTGCCTGAGTCGCGTCTTTCCTTAAAAGTTGAATGACTTGGCCAGGCGCAACGGCTCATGCCTGTAATCCCAGAGCTTTGGGAGGCCAAGGTGGGCAGATCACTTGAGTCCAGGAGTTGAGACCAGCCGGGCAATATGGCAAGAGACCCCCATCTCTACTAAAAATACAAAAAATTGGCCCAGCATGGTGGCACATGCCTGTAGTCCCTGTAGTCCCAGCTACTAGCAGGGGCTGATGTGGGAGGATCTCTTGAGCCCGGGAGGTGGATGGTGCAGTGGGCCCTGACCATGCCACTGCATTCCAGGTTGCAGGGCAGAGCGAGACTCTGTCTCAAAACAAACAAACAAACAAAAAAAACAAAACAAACATATCCTTCACCCACTTTTTGATGGGGTTGTTTGTTTTTTTCTTGTAAATTTGTTTGAGTTCATTGTAGATTCTGGATATTAGCCCTTTGTCAGATGAGTAGGTTGCGAAAATTTTCTCCCATTTTATAGGTTGCCTGTTCACTCTGATGGTAGTTTCTTTTGCTGTGCAGAAGCTCTTTAGTTTAATTAGATCCCATTGGTCAATTTTGGCTTTTGTTGCCATTGCTTTTGGTGTTTTAAACATGAAGTCCTTGCCTATGCCTATGTCCTGAATGGTATTGCCTAAGTTTTCTTCTAGGGTTTTTATGGTTTTAGGTCTAACACACAAGTCTTTAATCCATCTTGAATTAATTTTTTGTAAGGTGTAAGGAAGGGATCCAGTTTCAGCTTTCTACATATGGCTAGACAGTTTTCCCAGCACCATTTATTAAATAGGGAATCCTTTCCCCATTGCTTGTTTTTCTCAGGTTTGTCAAACATCAGATGGTTGTAGATATGTGGCATTATTTCTGAGGGCTCTGTTCTGTTCCATTGATCTATATCTCTGTGTTGGTACCAGTACCATGCTGTTTTGGTTACTGTAGCTTTGTAGTATAGTTTGAAGTCAGGTAGCGTGATGCCTCCGGCTTTGTTCTTTTGGCTTAGGATTGACTTGGAGATGCGGGCTCTTTTTTGGTTCCATATGAACTTTAAAGTAGTTTTTTCCAATTCTGTGAAGAAAGTCATTGGTAAAGAAGACATTTATGCAGCCAAAAAACACAGGAAAAAATGCTCATCATCACTGGCCATCAGACAAATGCAAATCAAAACCAAAATGAGATACCATCCCACACCAGTTAGAATGGCAATCATTAAAAAGTCAGGAAACAACAGGTGCTGGAGAGGATGTGGAGAAATAGGAACACTTTTACACTGTTGGTGGGACTGTAAACTACTTCAACCATTGTGGAAGTCAGTGTGGTGATTCCTCAGGGATCTAGAACTAGAAATACCATTTGACCCAGCCATCCCATTACTGGGTATATACCCAAAGGATTATAAATCATGCTGCTATAAAGACACATGCACACGTATGTTTATTGCAGCACTATTCACAATAGCAAAGACTTGGAACCAACCCAAATGTCCAACAATGATAGACTGGATTAAGAAAATGTGGCACATATACACCATGGAATACTATGCAGCCATAAAAAATGAAGAGTTCCTGTCCTTTGTAGGGACATGGATGAAGCTGGAAACCATCATTCTCAGCAAACTATCGCAAGGACAAAAAAACCAAACACCGCATGTTCTCACTCATAGGTGGGAATTGAACAATGAGAACACATGGACACAGGAAGGGGAACATCACACTCCGGGGACTGTCGTGGGGTGGGGGGAGAGGGGAGGGATAGCATTAGGAGATATACCTAATGCTAAATGACGAGTTAATGGGTGCAGCACACCAACATGGCACATGTATACATATGTAACTAACCTGCACATTGTGCACATGTACCCTAAAACTTAAAGTATAATAATAATAAAATTAAAAAAAAAAAAAATGTTGAATGCCCCTAGCCTTGCCTTTTCCCACACGGAAGATAACGTCTGATGGGGCTGCTGACTGTGCCACTGTACTCTATAACCAGATGTGCTCCTGCTCCCACACCTTGATGCGATTGATTCTGCTTTCATGTAACTTATAAGCAAGTTTGATGTGATTTTGCACTGAGCCTCCATGATCCGCATATAAATTCTGAGCCAAAATGGTGTTCTGGAACAGCCTGACAGGAACTCTCTGAAAATCTTCTCCTGGACTGTAGTCCTCAGTAAGACCTCTGAATAAAGCAAACTTTAATTCTTTAAAAGCTTGATTTTTTTTCCTTAGTCAGCAAGCTCCGTCTGTAGAGAGGAAGGGTGGAAACTCACCACCTGTCAACACTGACTCCCTGGGGTGGGGGAGACGGGGCGGTGACCGACCTTCAGTTTTCCTCCATGGAATTCTTCTAAGTGGTGGGATTTAAAGTGAATTTTACTTTTTTTCCCCCGTTTCTTGGTAATTTAAAATTTTTAAACTAAATCACAAGTGAGGTGTCAGGTAAACTGCAATTTAACAATAATCGAGGCAAACTCACCATAGCCCTAGTTGCAGCTAGGTGCTTAGTTACTGCAGTTCCAAAGAGAATGTGCTTCTCACACCACCAAGGAGCAGCGACCCTTAGAACGTCCTGCTCAGACCAGCCAGGGAAGCCTTTTCAGTCTTGTCTCCAAAAGAATGATTCTCGACTACTCTGCCTTCCAGCCGGGTCACCCTGAGTGCTGCAGGCTTAGCCAATGAAGCTCCTGAAATTCCTGACAATGGCGGAGATAGTCGTGGGGTGTCCACCGCTTTGCCACTGATAGGAGTGATTCCAGAGGAACTTGATCCTCAATCTGGGACTGTTTGCAGGAGTTTGGTTTGCCAGGAACTTGAGTGACATTGACCCCATGACACCTCAGCCGGTGGTGTAGCCAAGTAGACAAATGGACTCCCGCACTGTACCTGAACCTTCCAGAAACAGAAACTGCAATCTGGGACCATGTTAGCTATGCTCTGGGGGGTGTTTTTTGCTCTTGTCCTGAGGAATAGCAATGGTGATTTAACAAATATTTGAAATAGGCTGGGGACGGTGGCTCATGCCTGTAATCCCAGCACTTTGTTAGGCTGAGGTGGGCAGATCACCTGAGGTCAGGAGTTACAGACCAGCCTGGCCAACATGGTAAAACCCCATCTCTACTAAAAAAATACAAAAATTAGCTGGGCATGGTGGCGTGCCTGTAATCCCAGCTACTCAGGAGTCTGAGGCAGGAGAATTGCCTGAACCTGGGAGGTAGAGGTTGCAGTGAACAGAGATCACACCATTGTACCCCAGCCTGGGTGACAAGAGTGAAACTCCATCTCAAAAAAAAAAAAAAATACAAACCTGAAATAAAGACTTCACACAAAGGAAAAAAAAACAATGTTTCTCTACAAAAGAATGAATTTTTTTTTTTTATTTTGGGGTTTTTCTTGGTAATGCATAAAGATGCTATTGCCCAGATGTCAGTTGGAAATGCAGTATCCTGCTTCAAAACTTGGATTTTGGAGCGAGACTACAGGTTCTTCGCTTACTACCTGGTAATGTTGGGCAAACCCCTTAGCCTCTTTATGCCTCAGTTTCCTTTTCTTTGCAATTAGGTAACATTACCCAATATAATAGAAGTGTTATGAGAATTTAACAAGATAATATAAGAAAGTGCTTAGGACAGTAGCTAGTACACAGCAAGTTCTGAATACATCTGAGCTATTGTTATTTTTATAGTCACAAATTTGCCATTCCTCAAAACTCCCAGACAACCAGATTCTCATGTTTATTTTAACTGAATGATGAGACTGATGAGAGAAAGCAGCATGTACTCTACAATGAGAGGTTTGAAATTAATCCAATACCCTCATAAACCAGACCATGTGTGAATGTAGCTGTGTATGTGAATGTGTAGATGTGTATGTAGTTTCCATGTACACATCCTTTTTACAAATGGCATAGAAAGATGAAATGCTCTACTCAGACAGGAACCCGGAAGAGGATAAATGCCACTGCCCAGGCTGAAGAGCAGAATCAGCAAGTGAGCACAGGATGCCTAGAGTGTCACCGCTCTGGGATGGGATCTTCGAACTCTGCCCAGGGCACTCTTAGGCTTTCCCTCTGTCCTGCTCAGCAGCATGGGGCCAGGGACAAATGCACAATCAGTAATGCCAGGAAGCTCATCCCAAAGAGGACACAGCTCCCTCCAACCTCCCTCCTTCCTGTTTAATTTGCAAGCTTATACTTGCTCCTCCTGTAATCTGACCCAGAAGATGGAAATTCAAAGTCCCGTTGCATGCTTGTCAGTCATTTGACATCTCTGAACTTAGCTTCCTTAACTTCCCAATGTGGCGATGACTGAGTCTTTATCAATATGTCTCATTAATGACCTTTTGCAAGAGACCTCTTAAATTAAGTCAAATAGGCCTCTAATTTGCCTGCTCTGTTGATGTCTCAAAACATCAGACATTCACCTGCCACCTGCTGGGAAGAGGTGCAGGTGGGATGGACATTAGGACACATTGCCCTTAGCAACCAGGTATAAGGAGTAAGCATCAAGGGACAGTCATTCTTTCCTCAGCTGGAGATCATTGAATCCACCATAAGCTGCTGATCATGAGACCACGTGGCTGGGAGGCCACCTGATGCAGCAGCAGCCCCCGCACTGACTCTGGGGCTCTGCTGGGGGAAGCCTGCAGCTCCTGGAATCCTCACAACCACTGGGAGCGAGGTGCCGTAAGGAGGCGGAGTCTCAGACAGAGTCTCAGATGGTCAAGGACCCTGCTCCAGGGTGGAGGAGACCCTGGAAACACATCCAGCTCATGCCAGGGTCCAGTATCCATCCGGGACAGAAAGCTGCCTCCCTCCTTCCGGGACAGAAAGCTGCGTCCTCAGCAACAGGCAGAAAGTGACAGCCTCCTCCCATCGCCGTCACTCCTGCTCTCGTCAGACACCCATCCCTGGACCGCCAGACCCCCGGCTACCACCCCATCCTGCTCTTTCCTGATCTGCAGCCCCCCACACCCATCACTTGCTGACCAAGGTAAAATTTTACTTCTTTCATTGCAAGACCCACATGAAGACATGTTGGGGCGGGATTGAGGAGGTGATTGCAGGGATCTGCAGATCCCCTCCATCTACGCATAGGGTCAGTTGTGCTGCTCTGATGTTCTCAGCACCACCTGAGTGCGCCCCACTGCTATGAGAATTCTTGCATGATTTGTTGCTGTGACTATCTTTGGGCTCTCTTACCAGCCGAGGAGGGCTGGGGCATCCCCTGGCTCCTGTCACATGCTTGGGGAATGGCAGGGAACTCCACAGCACTGCCCCTGAAGGAGGGGCCTGGGCATTTCACAGCAAGGCCCTGACCAGGAACTTTGTATGTTTCCTGATGCCCGGGTCACAGCTACTAGCCTTTCCAAGCATCTGAATGCCATCTGGCTCCCAACCCACTTATTTCTGCCTTCACACTGCCAGACGCCCTTCGCCACCCCCCATTTTTATCAAGACAGACTTTGGCTCTGTCACAGCAACAGTGAGGAAGGCAGGAAGGGAAGGGTCCCCAATGTCCCCTTCATGATGCATCAGGCAACATGAAATACACTTTGTTTCCATGGCTCCATGTTTAAACCCTCCCTGGAATTACGCTCCCTCCCTCCCTTGGGAGAGCATGAGCAGACATGCCTGCGGGGGTCCTGCCACTCTCCCAGATTCACTTCCTGACTGGTCAGACAAACCTTACTGTGACCCGCACCAATGCCGCTGTGTGCTGTAAGTACACACTAGCTGTGCCTTATCCTGCAAGAACAGCACACGTGCTAATTTCTTCATACATGTCCACAGAGCCATAAGGAAGTTTGACCAGGGAGTGTCGCTGTTTTTAATGTTGACTTTTTTTTGTTTGTTTAAGGCCTTCCTCAGAAGTTTTGCCAAGAGGATTCTAAGAAAGATTAGAGAGGACATTTTTAATACACATTTGAAAAACATCATTCAAAGCCTACAATTTACTATTTGTGACCAGTAAACAGTGTGATCATTATCATCAGAAAGTATAAGATACAGGGCAAGGGCTTTGCTTCCAACACTGAAATGAAGGGCTATGTTCACTCCACCATTGAGAGTTCTTTGTTTTTTGTTTTTTTGGTTTTTTTCCCAAGGACAAAGATTTGAGTTTTCAAGTAGCAATGTCTGTTCTCAAAGGACAACCAAAGTGCTGCTCGTCACCCACTTCCGTGATCTCAAGTCCTTGTGGCCATCACTGACCTCAGCTAGATCAGGCCAGAAGTGTCTATAATACAACCACGTGTATTTCACCATGCCTCCAATTCCCATTAGAAGCTTTTTCCTGATATACTCTGAAGACTGGCTATTGTTATCTTTGTGATTTGCCTGACAGGTAAAGAAATTTTAAAATAAAGTTTTTTGTGTCCTCCAGGAACAAAATCATGCATGGTGTAGGGTTCAGGAAGCACATAACTCATCCTGAAGTGAACTCTCTTTGATATATTTACTGTGATATCTCATGGTTGGCACAGGCATTCACCTTCTAGAATCACCAAGGAGAACCAAAACCAAGAGTGAGATAGAATAAAATATTCCTGGAACAAGGGGGCAGAGACATCTTCCCTAAAATGGCCATGGTGCTTCTGGTGTTTGAATGAGGAGCATGTTTTATTCTATCATGTGTACGTAAATGTCACAAGGACATGGTTTGTGGGCAGAGTTTCCATACTAAAAACCAGTACAGTTGCCCCTTGATATCTGTGAGGATTGGTTCCAGGACCCCCATGGACACCAAAATCTGAGAATGTTCAAGTCCCTGATATAAAATGATGTCATTTTTGCATATAACCTACATACATCCTCCCTTATGCTTTAAATCATCTCTAGATTAACTATAATACCTAATATAATGTAAATGCTATGTAAGTAGTTGTTATACTGTATTGTTCACGGAATAATGACAAAAAATAAGTATGTATACATTCAATGCAGATGCAATCATCTTTGCTGCACAATTTTTTTTTTTTTTTTTTTTTTTTTTGAGAAAGGGTCCTGTTCTGTCACCCAGGCTGGTGTGCAATGGCATAATCATGGCTCACTGCAGCCTTGAATTTCTGGGCTCAAGTAAGCCTCCCACCTCTGCCTCCCTAATAGCTGGGACTGCAGGTGTGGGCCACCACATCCAGCTAACTTTTTCCCTTTTTTGTAGACACAGGCTCTCACTGTTGCCCACGCTGGTCGAAAACTCCTGGGCTCAAGCAATCCTCCTGCCTCAGCCTCCCAAAGTGTTGGGATCACAGGCGTGAGCCACCAACCCCAGCTACCCAAATATTTTCAGTCTGCAGTGGCTTGAATCCACAGATGTGGAACCCACAGATATGGAAGGCTGATTGTACTCTCCAAGCAATCTACATGTTGAAAGGTTTTCACCAATATAGATACATACAAATGCAAAGGCATTTTGTTTCAGAGAGTGAATCAAACCAATTTTCTTTCTAGAAAATTCTTTCTAGAATACTTATTCTAGGAATCCAATTACACAGCCCTCTTTTATAGCAATATTTAAATTCTACTGATCTTCAAACGCCTTTAGATAATTAAGTACCCGATACCAATAGCACCAACAGCTTTCCCTAGATCGAATGCACAGGTGGAAGATAGCCAGGGCTTTGGAGAACTTAAAAGAAAGAAAACAAAATAAGACAAAGCCCACACAAACCATTCTTTAGGACTGATATTAATTTGGGGGTAGGCAAGTATGAGGAAGAATACAGAGAAGTGAAGGCGTCTAGGAATTTCTGCAGAGGATAACTCCATCTTCATCCCTCCAACACGACATCGCCGCAAAACATCTCTCTCAGGTGCCCGAGGGTTCTGAGGTTTGGACCTTAAGGTAAATCGTGTTTTCTTTGGGCTTTGCTTTTCTGTAACAACAAAATTAAAAGTTGGAGTTAAAATAAATAAATAAGCAATCAGTTTGTTGATGATGGAACTGTTGCAAAGTTGTACACAGAAATGAATAAGTGTCAAGACAAAGAGAAAGTAAGGATGGCAAACAGCAAAGAAGAAAAGGGCATAGCAAACTACAGCCTGTGGCCCCATTCGAGCTTATAGCCTGTTTTTGTACAACTAGTGAGCTACAAATGGTTTTTACATTTTATATAGTTGGAAAAAATGAAAATATTTCAAGATACTTAAAAAATTACATGAAATTCAAATTTCAACATCCATAAATAGCATTTTACTGGTATCCAGACACAACCATTCCTTCATGCATTGTCTATAGCTGCTTTTCCAATGCAGGGGCAGAACTGGGTAGTAGCAAGAGAGACCACAGGGCCCCAAAGCCTGAAATATTTACTATCTGGCCCTTTCCAGAAAGAGACAAGCCCTGAAGTAGAAGGTTGATCATGTTCCTGGCTAACTCATTTTGAATCCGGTGACTTTGGGGATACATGTCATTATCTCCTTCATCTGTGGAATGGGTCTGATAACCATAGAAGCTGCCTCCCAATGTTTTGGGAGGATTCGGTGAAATGCACATGAGCTTTCAGGGAGGCTGACACACACACAGTGAAGCTTAGCTAGAGTTACAGTCACTTCCATTCCTGACATTCTCCCCTTGCAAGTGGGGAAGAAGGAGTAATCAACATGATCACTCTGGCCATAGACTGTGGCTACTATTTATGGAATTGGTATAGCAGAGAAGACAGACAATGAAATAAACAATTATTATAACGTGTGAAGAGTACTGTCAAGAACCAAGGATGCACAGGGGGTTCAGGGCTCTGGGCAGCAGCACCTGCCTCCCCTGGCAGGGCGGGAATGATTAGGATGAGAGAGTGAAGGGATTAAACAGAACATCTTAAAAGACTACCAGGCCAGGCACGGTGGCTCACGCCTGTAATCCCAACACTTTGGGAGGCTGAGATGGGCGGATCACCTGAAGTCAGGAGTTCGAGACCAGCCTGACCAACATGGAGAAAACCTGTCTGTACTAAAAATAATAAATTAGCCAGGCATGGTGGCACATGCCTGTAATCCCAGCTACTCAGGAGGCTGAGGCAGGAGAATCGCTTGAACCTGGGAGGCGGAGGTTGTGGTGAGCCAAGGTAGTGCCATTGCACTCCAGCCAGGGCAACAAGAGGGAAACTCCAAGTCAAAAAAAAGAAAAAAAAGACAACCAAGTGGCTGTTAACACACTAGAATGAAATATCTTTAAATCAGATAACACAACACTTGGGATCAAAAAGAAGGAAATCATCAGCAACTAGAAAATGCATTTACTGTTAAAATAGTGTTTTGCCCTTATCAGTACTGAGAAATCTAGAATTTCCCCAAGTGAAGTGTACAGAGTGCCTATCTGCATGTGCATTGTTGGCAGAGATTATTAAAACAGATTCCTGAGTTGCATCATTCACATTCTAAACCAAAAACCAAGAAGGCCAAGGAATTTAGCATTTTAGCATGTTCCTTTTGTGCTTCTTCTGCACACTTAGTTTGGAGGATCACTGGGGACATAGCACGATTTGCAAGAAGAATGGAGAAAATCTGAGCTCTATTGAACACCTGCTATGTGCCAGGCAATGGATTAGTCACTGTCACCTACTTAATCTGATTAGATCTTTATAGAAACTCTGTAAATTAAGTATTATTGTGACTATTTTGCAGGCATGGAAATTAAATGAAAAATAAAGCTCCATAGGGTTCAATGACATTCCCAAAGTCACATGGCCTACTGAGTCAGGTGACCTAGGTTCAATCGTAAGTCTGTAGGACTGCATAGACTTTTCTCTCTCTATTCACGAGGACACATGCATCCTTGCTGTGGAATCCACAGAACTGAGCCTGTAAAGGATCTTGAGAGAGATCACCTCATCAAGCACTGTTCCTTCCTTTCCTTTTTTATTGCTCTAAGACTAGAATATGAAACTCCAGCAAACCTTGCTCTCTGTCAAAAGAATTTTGTGAACAAAGTTACTAAAGAATCTGAGACAACAATTGCTCAGAGGACAGAAGATTGATTTTAAAATGTTCCCCACTCAGAGTCATTAACTCTTGGGGTGAGCTAGGGATCTTGGTGCACCACAGCCAACATTACAGACAAATCATTCTCTGCCATGCACTTGAGAACAGATAGCTGTCAAGTCATGCTCTTCATTATTTTCTTACATAAAGTCAGTAGCTATCATGGGTTTTTTTCCTCATAGCAGTTCTGGGAGTAATAAAAAGACATACAAATATCTGTAAAGCTCTCCTAAACTTTTAAGATAGAGGAAATGGAGAATGTGGAGTGATATTAGGCCCCTTTTGGAGGGCGTGTCAGACTCATGGGCCTCGGAGTCCTGGGCACCATGGGCTTCACCTCCCAAGGTTCTCGGCGTCCTTCATGGTCTCTGGCAAAGCGACCCCCTTGGTCTCTGGAAGAAGTAGCGTCACTCCCGCGGCAAGCAGGCCCAACACCGCTTCAAAGGAAACAGATTGCAAATGGAGCCATTAGAGCACAGCCAATGTCATTTACAGAAATAATCACAGCCAGCCAAAGAGAGGAAGAGACAACACAGATGGGAGAGATACTATTTTTTAAAAAGAAAAAAAGTTAGGAACATTTATAAAAGAAAATTAAAACAATAGGATAACTGGGGAAATGTCAGAGTACGTAAAGGAAACATTGCCTTCATTTTACTTCTATAGAAGTGTAAAGTTCCATAGTAACTGATGTTTAAGTATTTGGGGATTTGTTGTTGGGGTACATATACACATAGAATTAGCTATAGAGCACAGTCTATATGTGGGCAGGGTGGACCCCTCCCATCACTCTTTTCTCCCTCCTTTTTCCCTTTGCCTTCTACTTCCCTTTCTCCCTCCTTCTTCCTTTCTCCCTTTCCCTATCTCTTCCTCCACCCCTCTTTTTGTATTCACCTGTGCCCAGGCATGGCTGGCTCTGCAAACAACCAGCAACTGTTGTCTTCTATCAAGTGGGTAAGCAGGGTCTTGGAAGTTCTCTGGCCTAGGTTTGGAGAGATAAGTAGGAATCCCCTCTCCCTTCTCTCATCCAACTGTATCAGGAAGAAAGCTGATACGGAACTTTGATTCCCACTCATCTCCTTGTGAGTGTTCTCAATTGTTAAGATCTAGATACAGAAGACAGGTGATAATTCAGCATCTTCAAGACTCTAGCAATTGTGTGTTAAATGTGTAAGAATTGGTGATCAGATTTATCAGGAGACTGTCAAAAGGTCTCTCAGATTCTGTCCTATAGTATGAATGATTGGAGTCCAGAGCCAGAGGATGGAAATCCCTGACCCATATCCTAGGAATGGATTCTTATCTTTCCCATGAAGCAAGACAGAATAAGCCAGAAGACATCCCAAGAGCATGCATCATCCTTGCCTTCTGTAAACTCACTGAGAGATATCATTCCCTTCACTCAACAAATACGACTGAGTACTCACACTCAGTTCCACCCATGCTGAGCCCACTGCCGAGCTGCAAAAGAAGGAATGATATATGCTCCACAAAATCTTACCAAACAAAATGAGGGGCAAGGCTTGCCAGACCTCCCTCAGCCTGAAGACTATGAAGGGGGTGATTATCCCACCTATGTCACACAGGGAGGAACACACCATCACTCCGAGGTTCCTGATAAAATACAAAGGACAAAAAATACGATAATTCTGTGATTCACTTTTCCAAATGTTCACCTGATGCTAAAACAAGTACAATGCCAATACCTGCAGCTTGCTGTGGCTGTCCAGTGCTCAGCACCTCAGAAGAAAACTGCAGGGGTCAGGAGGAACCATGAGGACCAGCCCAGAGGGTATTGAGAGGAGGTAACAGGCTAGAGTGAAAGTGGGTATGAGCCATCCGTTGCCCATGCAATGGCAGAGAGCCTACCTCTTTTTAACTACACATTCAAATATTTAGCTCTTAGGTGTATAATACCTGAAGAATTGCTACAAGCCTTACAAAGATAAAAAGAACACATGCTCCCTGCTCTAAACTTCAATTTTACCTCACTCCTGTTCTAGGTCCATGACCTGTCATCACCTGTGGGAAAGCACAATGTCTGGGAGTGACTGAGTTTAGTGGGATTTGGGCCCTTCCCAGCCCTAAGACCCTGGGAGCAGGGTCAAGCCAGGAAGGAAATCCTGACTGATGTGCACCAGGGACTGACTAACCAACCCATCACCTCAATAGCCAACAAGTGACCCTTAGAGGAGGCACATGGGGAAGAAAGGAGACCTAATCAGAATGAGGGATCTGCCACTGGCGTTCATTGGTTAAGGGTCAATGAATGTGGTTCCTTATGCATGTGACCCAGAGATTTGCAGCACAGGGCAACAGGCCTTAAGTAGATTTTCCCAAGAAAAACATGGATTCCAGCTTCTAGCACTAGCACCATGGGGGATCTGCAGTGCTGATGAGGATAATCTGGTGCTGAATTTGTAGTTGTTGAGAAAGAGAAGACTAATCATTGAAATTCTAACTTAGAGCTCCTTTCCTGTGACTGCAAGCTTTGGTCTGTGCTAAGATGAGCATTTTCTTGGGAGAATGAGATTTAAACTGTGACTAGTAGCTTTTTCCACCTGATGAGTTGCTGGGGATGCTCAGAGCAGATGTTAAGAGATGGGAGGAAAAGAGTCTCCACTAGAGAACCCCTGATGCATGGAAACATAGGGAAGGGTAGATAGAAGGTATTGAGGAATCGAAGAAAGAAAGTTAGTGGGGAAACATGTAGAGAAACTATCTACTTGAAATGACCCTCTTCATCTCTGGTAATGTTCTTTGCTCTGAAATCTACACTATCTGATATTACTATAGCCTCTCCAGCTTTCTTTTGATTAGTATTAGCATAAAATATCCTTCTCCATCCTTTCGTTTTAAACTATCTTTCTCCCCTTATATTTAAAGTCAGTTTCTTGTAGACAGCATGGGGTTGTGTTTCACTTTTTTGTCCAATCTGATAATCTCTTCCTTTTAACTGGAGTGTCTAGACCATTTATATTTCTTGTGATTACTGATATGATTGAGTTTAAATCTATCATCTTGCTATTTGTTTTCTTTTTGTTCTGTTTGTCCTCTGTAACCCTTTATTTCTTTTTCTGCCTTCTTATAAATTATTTTAAATGATTTCACATTATCTTCTGTGTTGACTTAATAGCTATAATTATTTTGTTTTTTAATTTTTGATTTAGGTTTACAGAAAACCTAACTCTTTGATCACAGTAACTTCAAGTAATATTGTAACATTCATAGATTATATGTGAACCTTACAATAGTATACTTGTGTTTCTTCCCTCCCAGCCTTTGCACAACACATTGTGATTATTGTTTTGATTGGCAAACTACAGCCCACAGGCCAAAGACAGCATTTTTAGCTTTGAGTTAGAAATGGTTTTTACATGATTAAAAGGTTTTTTAGGCCAGGCGCGGTGACTCACGGCTGTAATCCCAGCACTTTGGGAGGCCAAGGAGGGTGGATCACGAGGTCAGGAGATCAAGACCATCCTGGCTAACATGGTGAAACCCTTTCTCTACTAAAAATATACAAAATAAATAAATAAATAAAATTAGCCAGGCGTGGTGGCAGGTGCCTGTAGTCCCAGCTACTTGGGAGGCTGAGGCAGGAGAATGGTGTGAACCTGGGAGGTAGAGCTTGCAGTAAGCCAAGATCGCACCACTGCACTCCCGCCTGGGTGACAGAGCGAGACTCCATTTCAAAAAAAGAAAGAAAGAAAGAAAGAAAGAAAGAAAGAAAGAAAGAAAGAAAGAAAGAAAGAAAGAAAGAAAGAATAATATGCAACAGAGACTGTATGTGATCCACAAAGCCTAAAACATTAGCTATCCAGCTCTGTACTGGAAAAGTTTGCCAATGCCTGCTTTAAACAGTTCATTGTCTTTTAAAGAAAATAACCAGAAAAAAAAAATTTCCATTTACTCACGTAGTTATCATTTTCAGTGCTCTTCATTTTTTTGTGTAGATATAGATTTCCATCTGATACTGTTTTCATTTTTTCTGAAAGATCTTCAAGACTAATATTTCCTGTAGTATAAGTCTGCTGGTGATTAATTCTTTCAGACTTTGTAAGTTTGAAAAAGTCTTTATTTTCCATTCATTTTTGAAAGTATTTTTGCTGGGTCAAGAATTTTAGATTGGCAGTTTATTTTTCTTTCTTTCAGTACTTTAAAGATGTTCTACCACCTTCTTGTTTGTATCATTTCCAATGAGAAATTTTCTGTCATTCTTATCTTTGTTCCTATTTGTGATATCTTTTTTCTCTGATTCCTTTTTAAGGTTTTTGTTTTGTTTTTGTTTTTGTTTTGAGACAGGGTCTTGCCCTGTTGCCCAGGATGGAGTGCAGTGGCGTGACCTTGGCTCATTGCAACCTCCACCTCCTGGGCTCAAGCAAGCCTCCTACCTCAGCCTCTATAGTAGCTGAGACTACATGCATGCACCACCACACCCAGCTAATTTTTGTATATTTTGTAGAAAGAAGGTTTCACCATGTTGCCCAGGCTGGTCTTTTTAAGATTTTTATGATGTGCCTTTCTTGATGTTTTTTTGTGGTTAGTATTTATTGAGATTGTTAGATCTATGTATTGGAAGTTTTCATCAAATTTGAAGAAATTTTGAGCATTATTTCTCTCTCTATTAACCCCTCCTACTCACTTCTACAGACTCCAATTACATTCATTGAATTGTATCACAGCTCACTGATTCTCTCTGTCTTTCCTTTTTGATAGTTTCAATTGCTATCTTCAAGTTCACTAATATTTTCTTCCATAATGTTTAATCTGCTGTTAACTCATGTGGTGTATTTTTCATCTCAGACATTGTGTTTTTATCTCTAGAAGTTTAATTTGGGACTTAAATTTTTTTTCCTTGCATCTACTTAACATGCTCAATCTTTACTCTAGGACCTTAAACATAGAGAATATAGGTATCATAACTGTTCTAATGTTCATGTCCACTAATTCTACCATCTGTGCCATTTCTAGGTCAGTTTGAATTGATTTATTTTTCTCCTCAAGATAGGTTATCTTTTCCTACTTCTTTGTATGCCTGGTAATTTTTTATTGGATGTCAGAAATTGTAAATTTCACTTTGTTCCATGCTCGATTTTGTATTCCTAGAAACAATCTTGAGCTTTGTTTTGAAAACATGATTAAAATAGGAATAATAAATCAGGAAAAGTTCTATCCTTTCGGGTATTACTTTTAAGCTTCTTCTATTGCAATTATTTGCATAATTTCTTACTCCCTACTATGACTAATTACAAAATTCATATATTTATATTTCTTTCCCAATCCCTCCCCCCATGACCTATATCCTGATGATAAAAATGCTTATATCATCTCTTAGAAATTTTTAAAACAAACGTAGAGGTGGAAATTTTATTGAATGCCTTTCAGTATCAATGGAGATAATAATATAATTTTTCTCTTTTGACTAATAAACATGATTTATACTGTGAGGTTTTCTAAAACTCAGCCATCTTTGCACTCCTGGAATAATTCATCTAAGACATAGAATAGTAATTATTTTAATGTTCTCCACTGTTTGATAATATATTGTTTAGGATTTCTAGATCCATATTCATAAATATATGTCTGTAGTTTCCTTGTTTCCTTTATCTTTGTTGTTCTTTGGTACCAATATTACGCTAATTTTATTTTTTAAAGTTGGAAAATTTTCTTCTTTTTCTATGCTTTAGAGCAATTTAAATATTATTGGAATTTTCTATTTGTTAAATGTTTTTAAAAATCCCCCTTTAAAACCATTGTGGATTCCTTCTTTATCATTATTTAGGGCCCTCCTTATCTTATTTAGCACCTTTTCCCATAAATTCAACTTTAATTAGATTATGACACTTGCTATATATTTCCCTAGTATGCTTTTGTGCATTCTTTCTTTTTTAGCTTTTCTCAGGAAAAGTTATACTTCATATAGCAGCATATTGTTGGATTTTACTTTGTAATCAAGCTAGGGAGTCATCTCATTTTTTCCAATAAAGGAGTTAAGCCTCTTTTCATTTATTTAAATGTCGGAAATGTTTCGTCTTAATTCTACCATGTCAGTTCTGTCATATCAATGCTGTCATCTATTCATATTCTATCACCTATTCACACCAGGGCTTTTTATTGCTTCTGGTGTCTTTTATTTTCAGTATGTGTTGGTTATCTGTATTTTTCCTGATCATTTGGAAGGGCTGTATTTTTAGTCAAATGATTACTGTATAACCTTATATAATTAATATCCTATTTCTTTAGACAGTATTGATTAACTTCCTATTATGAACAATCATAAAATTAGTATATTTCTACTTCCCCCTCAAACCATCCCTCCATGACCTGATTTAGTTGATTCTATCATTACTTTTAGTGTTTTCTTTTATATCTTAACATATGCCTAGGATACTACTTATCAGTTTTTAAAAATATATTGCTGCTGAACTAATTATACTTGTCAGTTTTTAAGGATACACTTTTCCAAAAAACAAGTGTATTGAAGAAATCAGTGTATTACACCATCTCCAACATTCTTTCTCTTTTCTCTTTTCAGTCTTTGTGAGTTATAACATTTCTTTATTTTCAGATTTGTGATATTATATTGTTTTGTAGCCAAAAACACACTCGTTTTAATATCAATTTCAATGATCACTACCAATAATTCTGACACATTACTTCATTCGTCACTGTACTTACTGAATTTTGTTTCTAACAACTTTTTTGGGAAAGGATCATAGGAACCATATTATTTGAGATATTTTTAAATGATTGGCTATTGCTTCTATATAGAAATGAGAGCTTGGTTGGATAAAATTCACTGGATTCGCGCGTGATGGCTAACATCTGTAATCCTAGCACTTTGGGAGTCAGAGGCAGGCAGATCTTCTAAGGTCAGGAGTTCGAGAACAGCTTGACCAACCCCATCTCTCCTAAAAATACCAAAATTAGCTGGGCGTGGTGGTGGACGCCTGTAATCCCAGCTACTCAGGAGGCTGAGGCAGGAGAATCACTTGAAGTGGGGAGGCAGGGGTTGCAGTGAGCCGAGATCATGCCACTGCACTCCAGCCTGTCTCAAAAAAACAATAATAAAAATCACTGGATTGCACTTTATTTTCTTGAGGTCACTGCAGGCATTGACTGTCTTCATCAAATGATAACAATTTGTTCTTCTTATATAGGTGACAAACTTTCAGCCTGGCTACTTGGTGACTCTTTCTCTATCTTTAAAGTATAGTAACCAAATAAAAATATGTCCTAATAATTGTTCACTGGGTCAGTTTTTTCTGTTACATGTGTCCCTTTAATTTATAGATTCAAGCATTCTTTTATTTTCAGATGTATTCCCGAAGTATATTTATTGCGTATGTGTGTGGGCAGGGGGTGTATATATATATATCTTTTTTTTTTTTAACCAAAAAGTTTACGGACTATATACATACATACATGCATAGAACCTTTGAAACTCTACTTATTTCTTATTTCTTTTTTTTTTTTTTTCTTCTTCTTTTTTGAGACAAAGTCTCCCTGCCCGGGCTGGAGTGCAGTGGCTCGATCTTGTCTCACTGCAACCTCCACCTCCTGGGTTCAAGTGATTCTCCTGCCTCACCCTGCTGAGTAGCTTGGACTATAGGCATGCACTACCATGCCCAGTTAATTTTTGTAATTTTAGTAGAGACAGGGTTTCACCATGTTGGCCAGGCTGGTCTCGAACTCCTGGCTTCAAGTGATCTGCCCACCTCAGCCTCCCAAAGTGAGGGATTACAGGCGTTAGCCACCATGCCTGGATTAAACTCTGCTTATTTCTTATTTCCATTTTACTTTGCAACTCTTAGTCCTGTCTTGCCTTTCCCTCACTGAATCTATTCTCCTTTGCATTGTGTTCAAATTGGTTTTTCATTTCTCAAATGCAAGAATTTCTCCACTTCTTAATTTTTCTTTTTCGTTTCTTTCTTAAGACAGCTTCAGTGTCTTCTATTGTCTTGCCAGATATTCTCTCTAGAACTATACCTCTGCTTTAAAGTCTTATTTTTATAGAGATGACTGATTTATTAATACTTTACATTTTGGTAGTATATGTAGTTAGAACTTTGATCTATGTTGTTACAGCATTTTTCTGGTACATGTTCTTCATTTGCCTTTTGCTTTTTCTGCTCCTTTCCCCCTTTATCTCATGATATGTTTGTGTACCTCCTGAATGAATTACTTTTTTGTTTATTACTCATCTTTTCATACTGTTATTTCTTCCTCTATCAGCCATTTCTAGAAGGGTTTGTGGGGAAGCAGCCAGGCCATGTTCTGGGCTAGTAGAAATTCTTTCTTTGATCAGGGTTGTATATGATTAGATTTTTTTGGCTCACTTATTCCTGATCTACAGGGGCTGATGGTGTGGAGCTAGTCTCTTCCACCCGCCTCTCAGTAACTGCTGTCTGAAAGTTCCTGCATATCTTCTTTTACAGCCTTGCCCTCCCTGCTTCACCTTCAGCCATACAACATCCAGGGAAGGGAGCTTCCACCTCCAGCCCATGCACCCATCATTCTGTTTCTCCAAACAAGGGACCATGGATCACACCCTTCAAGTCACGCTGTCTACTTTGGAAAGCTGCTGGCCTCGCCTACGATTTGCTGTCACAGGGGTCCTTTCCTGGAATCTTCTCGGACTCCCTTAGACCTCACACACTAGGCAGCCCTTCCTCTTGTAGATTGTCTTTTCATGTTATCACAGTTTCAAACACATTTGCATTATCCCTCATTCTTCTAATAGCTTTTGTGTGATTTCCAAGAGGTGCAAGAAAAGACACAGTTATTTTTTACTATTTTTAAAAAATTATTGTTAAAAGGAAAAAAATGGCAAGCACACAGAAGCTAGAAGAAGTAGGGAACTAGGCCCCTTAT
The DNA here is from genome assembly GCF_000001405.40 of Homo sapiens. NCBI lineage: Eukaryota > Metazoa > Chordata > Mammalia > Primates > Hominidae > Homo > Homo sapiens. Next base: position 160,147,534 of record NC_000006.12, on the reverse strand, counting down.
TTAAAATTCAGATGTTTGCGGTACTTCATTCATTGAGTCATTCTACAGCATGTAGTGAGTCTGGCTGTGGAAGAGTTCTGTGAGGTACAGAGAAGTATGACATGACATGTGGTTTCTGTTTTCAAGGAGCTCATGAGAAGGTGAGGAGATAAAAATGGAAAGATCATTTTCAAAACAAGGCAGTGGGTATTAATGCCAAATGAATGTTCTTACAACACGTGCTGCACAAAGTGAAGAGGAGCAGAGCAGTCCAACTCTGAAACTGCCTGGAACGGAGGCAGGGTCAGAATGGTTTACATAGAGACTGTCTAAACTTGGAGTGCTTATAAAGTAATAAAGTCACAGAAATTATTCCTTCTCTGCAAATTAAATTTGATTCAATTGATTAGAAATATTGGAACTTGAATGACTGCCTTACCTTGTGTGTGTGCGCGTGTGTACATAAGAAGTTGAGAGTTTTTTCTGAACATCTAGCTTCCCTCCCTAGTGAATGAGAATGATTCTCCCACCAGCTCTCTGAGCAGTGGTCGAGGGCTCCTCGGGGATGGGTTGCTTGGCCTTTCTCCCTAGAGAACTACACACTCAGTACCTTTCACAGTTTACATTTTGAGTCAGTCCCCTTGGCCCAGTGGCCATGACAATGGAATTGTTTGGCCTGGCTATTTTAGACTCTGGGCTCAGAACTGCCAAATATAGAAGGTTTTCTTTTTAATATGCCTTCATCTCCTGTACTCAGTCCCAGTAACTTTTTACCAATGAGAGTCTCAGACATGGCCTGTTAATAAAGGATTAGTCAGGAAAGAGTGAATCAAGGCCATCCTGGTGCCTTCTGGCTTTACTGAAGGGCTCAGAGCACTGCGCATGTATAAGATGAGATTAGGGAGCTGGGGTATTTCCTAGAAACTACTGGTATGATGACATAAGGAGAAGAAACAATGTATACAGAGGAAAAAGAGTTTAAGTAACATACGGAATTTCTAACAAACTAGAATTTCTTAGAACTTTAAGTAAAGTGTTTACTTTTACAATTAAAATAATCTTCATTTAAAACTAAGTCTTCCAAGATACAGAAGGCAATTAAGTACAGACAAAGATACTCAACATTATCAGTAATTAGGAAAAGTCAAGTCACAATAATACCATTACCTACCAAAATGACTTTTAGAAAGCTGACACCAGACCAGGTGTGGTGGCTCACACCTGTAATCCCAACATTTTGGGAGGCCAAGGAGGGCAGATCATCTGAGGTCAGGAGTTCAAGACCAGCCTGGCCAACATGGTGAAACCCTGTCTCTACTAAAAGTACAAAAAATTAGCCAGGCGCAGTGGTGCACGCCTGTAGTCCCAGCTACTCAAAAGGCTGAGTCAAGAGAATCGTTTGAACCTGGGAGGCAGAGGTTGCAGTGAGCCGAGATCACGCCACTGCACTCCAGCCTGGGCAACAAGAGTGAAACTCCATCTCAAAAAAAAAAAAAGCTGACAACACCAAACACTGATGAGAATGTGGAACGACAGGATTCCTCAAACATGGCTGGTGGGAACGCAAGATGGCACAGCCACTTCGGAAAACGGTCTGACAGTCTGACAGTTTCTCATAGAATTAAACACACACTTACCATATGACCTAACAATCCCACTCCTGAGTTTTTAACCCAACGTAAATGAAAACATGTATCCACTCAAAGGCCTGTACCCAAATGTCTATAGCATCTGCATCAGAATCCCTCTGAAGGAAGCCGTTCAAATGTCCCTCAAGTGGTGAATAGCTAAACAGTGTATGAATTGTGGCACACTGACATTCACATGCTGGAGTACTATACAGCAACAACAAGCAAAACACTGATACATCCAACAAGTGGGTGAGTTTCATCATGCTAAGTGAAGGAAGCCAAACACAAAAGGTGACGTGCCCTATTATTACATTTACAGCTCATTCTGGAAAAGCTAAAACTGCATGGTCTGGAGGTGAGAAGAAAAGGGTATTAACTGCAAAGAGACATGAAGAACCTTTTGGGGGTGATGGAAATATTCTCTATTTTCATCATGGCAGTGGCTAAATGACTATATATACGTGTGTGTGAGTGTATGTGTGTGTGTGTGTCGTCAAACTAATCTAACTGCATGTTAGAAGCAGTGAATTTTACTCTGTCAATTGTACCTCAATAAACTTGATTAAAAAAAAAAAAGTTCTTCAGCACCAAAAGAAAAGGCAACAAAAGTAAAAAGAGATAAATTAGACTACATCACAATCAAAAACTTCTGTGCATCAAAGGTCACAATCAACAGAATGAAAAGGTAACCTATGGAATGGGCTGAAATATTTGCAGATTTTGTACCTGATAAAGAGTTAATCTCCAGATTATATAAACCATTGCTACAACTCAAGAACAACAAAACCAGTTCAAAAATGGGGAAAGGACTTGAGTAGACATTTCTCCAAAGAAAATACACAAATAGCCAACAAGCACATGAAAAGATGATCAACATAATTAATCATCAGAGAAATCAAAACCACAATGAGATAACACTTCAAACCCATTAGGATGGCTACTATCAAAAAGACCAACAGAAATTAACAAGTGTTGGCAAGGATGTGGAGGAATTGGAACCTTTGTGAACTGTTGGTGGGAATGTAAAATAGTGTAGCCGTTATGGAAAAAAAATACAGCCGTTCCTTCAAAAAACTAATAATAGAATTAGATTATGATCCAGTAATTCCACTTTTGGATATTCCACCCCAAAGAATTGAAAGATATCTTGAAGAGATATTTGTACATTCATGTCCATAGCAGTATTATTCACAATAGCCAAGAAGTGGAGCATCCCAAGTGTCCATTGACAGATGAATGGATAAACAAAATGTGGTATATATGTACAATGGAATATTACTCAGCCTTTAAAAAGAAGACAATTTTGGCACATGCTACAACATACATGAACCTTGAGGCCATCACACTAAGTGATCTAAGCCAGTCATACAAAGACAAATACTATATGATTCCACTTATATGAGGTACCTAAAGTAACCAAACTCATAGAAACAGAAAGTAGACAGGCGGTTGTCAGGAGCTGGAGGGTGGAGAGTATGGGGAGTTACTGTTTAATGAGTACAGAGTTTCCGTTTTGCAAGATGAAGAGTTCTGGAGCTTGGTTGTGTGAAGGTACTTAACACTACTCAACTGTACACTTAAAAGTGGCTAAGATAGTAAATTTCATATTATGTATATTTTACCACAATTTTGAAAAGTTCCTCAGTTTACAGAACAGTAATGTGCCATAATGGAAAAACCACAGGGTTCCAGGTCAGGAAGATGTGGTCCTTGCCCCAGCCCTGCTTCTTTCTAGCTGTCTGACCCCTACAACGCTTCTTTCCCTTTCTAAATCACAGCTTCCTCATATGTAATATGGGGATGATCATACCCAAGAACAAATTTAAGGGAATCACATGTATGGAAATACTCGCGTATCACTATACAAATGTCAGCTGTTTAAGAAAATGATGCCCAGAAGTGTCAATGAAATGGCTGATGTTTATACAATCAATTAGTGCCAAGGACAGGGCTACAACACAGGTTTCCCAAGTCCCTGTCCAGTACCCACTTCTCTACACCTTTTGTTCTTGTACTTGTTGTATGTACAGAACAACTTTGACCCCATCCATCAGCTCACAGGGTCCCCTTTCACATTCTCTGCTATAATTATGGGTTGACCCTCTCTTGATGCTTAACCCCATCTCTCTGAACGTGATTTCTTAACAATGCCACTCAATGTCCAAACTGAGCAATGCTTGGCTGCATCTTTAGGAAGCACCTTGGAGATGTTGGTTCCCACTGAGCTGGTGGGTTCACAGCCATTTCACTGGCTACCCCTGTTCCATGCACTCACCTGACGAATGTGGGGTACAGCTCAGCATTCACCAGGCAGATCATTTGTATTGCAATGGTGATTCCCATTCGGCCAACACACATGATTATGATGTTTAACCAGTGCAGGTCTGGAAAGGAAGTACAAAGAGGGTGTGGGTGGTGGATGGGGGCTTCGTTCCCTGAGTTACTGTGAGAGGCCATGGTGGGTCATGCTTGGACTATTAGAGCTGGTGGGGCCTGGAAGTTTGTCTTATCTAACTTTTTCATTTTTAGATAAGTAAACTGAGTCTCAAGAGATTTGGGGAGTTGACGATGACATATTCAAGAAGACTCCATTGAACAGGGGAAAGAATGGGCTTTTTGAATCTCAGCTTGGTTTCCTGGGCTGTAAAATGGGAATAATGACACCCAGCTTATAGATCATCATGAGACTTAGAGCTGATGTATGTCAAATGTCCACTGTGACCACAGAATTTTAAAGTTGGCTTTTTATTTATTATATGATAGTATCCATTCTAGTTCAGTGCCTGAAACACAGAAAGCACTCAATAAACATAATCCCTCTAGTAGTAGTTCTCAAACTAACAAAACAGATTTCTAATCCTCAATTTAATATTTGTTTCCAATACAGTTTTAACCAAAACACCTTTCATAATAGTCTCAGAGGCTGAGAATGAGGGAAGCGAGCCCTTGTTTCACGCTGGCAGGCTGCTGTGGGGTTCTCGACCACCTGAAGGCCCAGAAAGCCCTCTCCCTATTGAGAATGATCAAAGAATTTGGCTTCATTGGAAAGAAGCTCAGATCCTTAATAACCACCATCATCTGCTCTGCATGGGTTACCCCCAGCACTGAAATGCAAGTAACCCTGTGACACACCAGCTCACTATAAAGGCCTCTGGGGTCACAGACACGATGTCAGCTTGACCCTTGTCCCCAGATACTGGCTATTTATGGAAATCTTGTATCATCTCACTCAGCCAGTGTGAGGGTCCAAATGAGAGTGCCCCTCACCCGTCTCATGGGTGCAACACAGTCTCTCTGCCTCCTGGAGCTCTCAGCCCTGATAGAGAAGCCAAGCTGAGCCTTCTGTTAAGGACCACACCTCATCTAGCTTCTAAAAGATAAAAGGCAAGGAGTTCACTCCAATGCCTCGAGGGAGGTCCTCATTCACAGGTCTTTAGCCTGGTGATGCTTGACCAGAGGTAAACAGCATCCCTGGCCTCAGAGAACTGAACATGCCTCCACTCTGCACCCCCAGGGCCGCTCATCACAGCAGCCAGAGGGACCCAGTTCAGACTGGAGTTGGGTCAAGTCCACCCCTGCTCAAAGCCACCAGTGGTTTCCTACCACTCTTGGGATAAAGTCCACAGCTGGCTACTTCCCAACTCACTCCACGCCTCACTCCACTGCTCCCCACGAGCTCGCCTGACCCTTGTCCCTAGATCCCGAGCAGTCCCTCCAATGCCACATTCTTCTCACCCCAAGGGCCTTGCACGTGTCAGAAAACTCTCCCCAGATTTTTACATGGCTCTTCCCACTTCATTTAGGCCTCTTCAGGCCTCCCGTGCCCATTGTAGAAAGCACTGACATCCTTCTCTTTTCCCTCTGGAATGTCAGCTCCATGGAGCAGGAACTCTCTCTGCTTCGCTCATGGTTGAAATCCTAGGACCTAGATACCTGCCAGCCATATAGAAGGCCTGGAGATATTTCCTGCGGGTTGAATGAATGACTGTCCTAAAATGTGATAAGGACTAAGACAGAGGGACGAGGGGAGGACAGGAGCTGGGAGGAGGGGGCTGGGGAGGGGACGATGCCTGGGCTCTGTCCAGGTGACAACTGAATGGACTTAGCCCTCGATGGCCCTCCTTCTTGGCACTCAGTGCTGTGAACTTTTTAAAAGTATGCCCATCCATCACATCTTACCCAGGATTCCAGAAACAGAGAGATTGGGAAGAAAGTGAGCAAAATCTATTTCAGATCCATGCTGCCCCTTTTCCTGTGTTCTCTGTTCTTTCTCCATGAAAAAAAGGGAAAAGAAAACTGAGCTTTCTTTCCCCAACCCTTTTTCTTTCCAGCCTGATCTACACAGCCTAGTTCTTGGGCATACAGATTTCACAGAACAGTCTCTACAATACCCTGCACGAAAGCCTGCCAAAATGACTCACTAAATCAGCAAGTGCAGAGCACACGCAGTAAAAACTGAGAAAAGAGCAGATCTGCCCTTGTATTTATTTTACAACATATCCAAGAGCAATGAATGTGAAAGGCAATTTACGTACTCAAATTAAAACTGACTGAAGTTAATCTGCTTTAGGTTTAAATGTAGCTTGGTTTATCTTTGATTGTAAGAATTACAGACTAAAGTATACATCCACCAAAATGGCCACTCTTAAAAAGATGAGCCAGATCAAGTGTTGGGAGGATCTGGAGTAATCGGAGCTCCCATGTGTTCCTGGGAGGAGTATAAAATGGTCTAACCACTTTGGAAAGCTGTTTGGCAGTGTCTGCTAGAGCTAAACATATGCCTCCCTGGGACCCAGCAAGTGTACTCACAGACCTGTACCCAAGGGAAATGAAAGCATGTGCCTGCCCAAAGATACGTGCAAGGATGATTTTAGTCCCAATAAGTGGCAAACATTGGAAGCAACACAAGTGACAATCAACAGTGGAAGGGATGCAGAGTGTCATATTCATACAGTGGAATCCTACACAATAATTTTGTTTGAAGTACCAACTACACTCTCATGTGACAACATGGGTGGGTCTCATAGGTGCAATGATGAATGGCTCATGCCTATAATCCCAACACTTTGAAAGGCTGAGGTGGGAGGATTGCTTGAGCCCAGGAGTTTGAGACCAGCTTGGGCAACATAGTAAGACCCCATCTCTACAAAAAATAAAAACATTAACCGGGCATAGTGGCTCACGCCTGTAGTCCCAGCTACTGAGGAGGCTGAGGCGGGAGGATCCCTTGAGCCCAAGAGTTCAAGGTTGCAGTGAGCTGTGATTGCACCACTGAACTCCAGCCTGAATAACAGAGCAAGATTCTGTCTCAAAACACAACAACAATAACAAAAACAGTATATTTGGTATGGTGCCATCTATATGAAGCTCAAGAACAGGCACAATCTGTGCTGACAAAGGGCAGAGTAGTGGTGACCTTGGAGGGGTGGCAGGGGTTGTTGTGAAGGAGCCTGAGGGAGGCTTTGGAGAAGTTGGAAAGGTTCCCCATCTTTACGTGGATCATGCTGCCCGGGTGTACACATTTTTAAAAACTCATGGAGTCATGCACTTATAGTTTGCTGATTGTATGTATGTTAAAACTCAATTTAATTTTTTTTTTTTTTGCTGTTTTTGGGGGTTTTTTTGTTTGTTTGTTTGTTTGTTTTTTGGGAGATGGAGTTGTACTCTGTCTCCCAAGCTGGAGTGTGCGATCTCGGCTCACTGCAACCTCCGCCTCCTGGGTTCAAGCAGCCTCCCAAGTAGCTGGGATTACAGGCGCCCGCCACCAAGCCCGGCTAATTTTGTATTTTTAGTAGAGATGGGGTTTCACCATGTTGGCCAGGCTGGTCTTGAACTCCTGACCTCAGGTGATCCACCTGCCTTGGCTTCTCAAAGTACTGTGATTACAGGCATGAGCCACTGTGCACGGCCCCTCAATTTAAAATCTAAAAAAACTTTGTAGACAAAGGTAGCACCTCATCTTTGTTCTCATTCCAGAGGCTTATCAAAGAGTCACAACACTTTCCCCACACTTCGATTGCCTGGGAAATGATGAAAGCAGACAACTTACCAACTTACCAGGTGAGATAAAAATCATGACGAGGCAGGCTGCCCCCGCCAACAAATTTGACATGGCCATGGGGTAGATGCGGCCCACGCGGTCAATGGTGATGAGGGCTATGAAGGCCCCCGGGATTTCGACCAGAGCGGAGTAAAGGAAATCCAGGTAGAGGTTCCCGCTGGTGGCGCCCATGTGCAGGATGAGCCCCTGATAGAGCACAGAGTCCGTGAACCTGAGCCAAGAGGAGGTTTCAAGTCAAAGGCATGAGTCAGAGACTGAAGAAAAAAAAAAAAAAAAAAAGCCCCTCGCAGATGGAGAAAGAGCATGAATCACTGGGTTTAGAATGCCCTAGAGCAATATGAGAAGAGGGGAGTAAAAATGAGAAAGAGTGTCCTAGAAGGGCCCCAATGATACATTTTTTTCATGATAGATGTGAGAGTCTGACTTGTAGGATATGCCTCCAAGTCTCCTGGAGACTGCACGTGAGGATGGCTACTGTTCACTGCAGATTTAAATGTCTGGTTCTGCACCAAGCCCTGCACGTGCGTACCTCATCTGACACCCCAACAGGCCTACGAGGAGGTGGGCAGGAGAGACCAGGAAGTAAGGGGCCAGGTGTCGGATTGCTTTATGAGCTGTGTCACCTTGAGGAAGTTAACTAACCTCTCTGGGCCTCAGTTCCCTCGTCTGTAAATGGGATTGTAATAGTACCTCCCACATCTGTTTGTCTTGAGTACTCACTGAATTAGCGTACAAAAGTGCCAATTATAGTTCCCAGCACACAGTATGCACTCAGGGCACTCAGAAGACTCAGGGCACAACAGACAGAGGCATGGGCCAGGTCTTTCCAACCGCACCATGGCATTCCCGGCCCTTTACTGTGCTGTCCTTAGTGGGCGCTATTGATTCACCTACGCTCTTCCATTCACTGCACACCCCCTCCGTCCATATTTGAGAAAATGTAGCAACATTACAGCATATGGCACACAGACCCGAGGCCTAGCTAAATCACTCTCACCTGAGCCAAAATGTAGGGTGCCTCATGTGTCACTTCGGGGGGAAAATATCATTTGGAAGCTAGAAAGCTTTTACAGTCATATTTACATTGTGAGAACAGATTTGGGTCAATAAGAAATTACTGTCTCATCCCAGCATGCAGATTGCCTATCAGCTCCAAAACTGAGATGAAAATGCATGTTGCTAAGGAATGTATCCTTCTTTGATAAAATTTCGCCTAAAGAAGCATTGGGATGCTTTTGTTTCTAGTCCTAAATTATTCCTGATTGGACAAAGGGTCAAGAGAACAAGAAACAAGGTGCTTGCCTGCAACTCAAGGAGTTGAGGTTAGCCTGAGTGCCTCTGTACCATTTAGCCAGTTAAAGACAGCAGTCATATTACTGATAAAGAAACTGGTTTAAGAGAAAGGAACGTGTAACCTTGATTTTCCTGTCAACAAGCCAGTTAACAAATGTGCCGGGCTGCCACCTGTGGGCAGAGCTCATGAATTGCATGTGTGTATTAAAATAACAAAAAAAACCACATTGACATTGAACATTTCCTGCATGGATGCTGTACCCTCTTCTATGTCATTTACACATATAATCTCCTTAATCCTCCCAACACATCTGTGAGATAGGTACTATCACTTCTCCCATTACTGAGGGGGAAATTGAGTCACGGAGAGATTAAGGCCCTTTGGAAGGTCACACAGCCAGGACATGGTGGACAGACCTTTCGAGTCTCAGTCATGACAACCAGCAGGACAGTAGAAAAGGGCGTTCAGGGGCCAAAGGCGTGAGGCCTTGTGGGCCACAGAAAAGGATCTGGCTTTATTCTCAGTGATTAGGAAGCCAGCAGAGGGTAAACAGGGAGAGACAAGGTCTGTTGAGCTCTAAGGGATGCCTTTGCCTGCTTTGTGGAGCACCGAGGGGCATGGGTAAAGCCAGCAGGCCACCCAGAAGGTGCCTACAGTAATGCAGGTAAGAGATGCTGCAGAACTGTCCATGAGACAGCTGACATTTATACAAAGAATTAGTGCCAAGGACAGGGCTACTACAACCCCAGCAAGGGAACCCAGGGTGCCCAAGATGGGAGGCAGCAGGTTCTGAAGGCATTTCCAAGCCAGTTGATGGAACTTGCCAGAGGACTGGATGTGGGGGTAACAGAACAGAAGAGTCAAGAACACTGCCTTGTGGGGAGTCTCGGAGCTGGGGAGGGGAGCTGAACAGCGTAGCAGAGCGGGCAGTTACTTCCACTGCAGCGGCCAGTCCCAGCCTCCATGCTGAGTTCAACACTGAGTATCCATGGAAACCCACCAGGTACATGGGGCTATTTGCAAAGGTTCACGGGCCCAGCATGTGGCTGGGTGCAGGACCCCAGCGGCAAACTCGGAGACAGGGAGGGTGAAGGTTGAGGCAGGACAGGACACACTGAACCTGGACAGATTCTGGGGCACAGTGTTTACTCATTCAACTTTCAGCAAATATTGATTTAGGGTCTGCAATATGCCAGGCACTGACTTACTACAAACTCTTTGTTCCAATAAAACCTCACATAGAAGAGCAAACAAGTGTGCCTGGGTAGCGGAGCTGCTCCCGCTGAAGGGGCCAGGCCCAGAGTGCAGTTGGGGGGCCCTCACTGTATGCTGAGGGGAAAGCCCTTGTGCGGAGGAGGTGAGCCAGCATCCTCCTAGGGAGCAGGGCAGGGGATTCCTGCTCGTGACAGCAGCTGGGGGAGCATGCAGACCCCTGGAATGTGCAAAGCGTGTGTGCGTGGGTCCATGTGGGTGTGCGTTCTCTAGTCAATAGGTAACAAATGCACAGAGATGCTCAGGTAGGGTCTCTAGGGTGTTTAGATATGAGGAATGGAACTTCCTCCTCGAACGCTCCAGGAGCTCTCATCCACCTTCTGACGCCGAGTCAAGACTTGGCTATTCCCAGAAGATGAGACCATGTGGAACGGAGGCAGCCCCGATAACCCTTTATCCTATTTCTCTCATCCCACTGGTGATCTCCCAAAGGTAACAAATGCTCCTCACTAAAATGAAGCCTTTTCCTTATTATTCAATCCCCAAGGGAGAAACAAAAAGAGCTCTTTGACCACTCACAACTATATTACAATTCTTTTTCCCTTTCTCTTTTTCCACCTGAGTATTCCACTGTCTCTAATCTATAGCCCAGTGCTTGGGCGAGCGTGCTGATTCTGCCTGGAGAGACGCACAGGAACGCCCCTCACCACAGGTACATCAGGATGAAGGTGCGCTTCCTCAGGCGCGGCGTGCGGAACAGGTCTGCAAATGAAGGGCTCAGCTTTTCGGTGACATCCTCTTCGAGGGAAAGCATCTAGGAGGGAGGGAGAGCATCAGCCACACTCACGCTGTCATGAGCAGAGCCACCTGGGAGCCCCTGGGGAGGTGAGCCTTGCCACCACCGTGCTTCACACCCATGACAAGGGGCACAGTTCTGCTCTTTCCCCTGGCAGCCCCAGACGAATCTGCACCAGAACCCAGCCCCAGATTCAGTGATGTGAGATACCCCTTCCTAGATTTCACCTTTAAATCAGCAGGAGGCAACTTCCCATTCTTTTGAGCGATGTGGTCCATTATCTTTATTGCTTCAGTGTTTCTTTTTTGTGATAACAGCCACCGAGGGGACTCCGGCACACACCTGCGAACACCACTCATCACTATCTGGCATTTTCCTCGGTCTGACGTTCAGCCCTGAGCGGGGTGATGCTGTTGCTCAGTGCAGCCTGCCCTCCCCACGTTGGGGCTGTAATCCCTCAAGAGGATGAGGACCTGGGGTCACTGTGCGCTAGCCCATGTGGCCCAGGTCACAGCTCTGTGGGTCACTCAGACTCCTAGTGTCACCTAAGATTTATAGACCAAAAGGGAGCCATCGCTTCCTATGTAGCCTTCCTTCTGTGCAGCAGGGGCCTCATCTCTCCTGGGGCAGCCTTTGTCCCCCACGGAAAACACTCACAGAGCAGATGCTCCATGTATATTACCCGATGACACCAGGACATCTCCAGGCAATACAAGGGCTGTTGAACACTTCTCAAAATATTTCTCAAACAAAATAAAATGTATTTACTGTCCTTTAAAATCAAATCAACACCATGCTGTCTATTTCAAATGGGACGAGGAGGGTACAACTCAAAGACTGGGCCTCTCTGGCATAAGGGTCTTCTGAAAGCTGGCCGGCATTGACTGCCTCACCCTGCCTGAGCATGCAGAATTTGCCTTTCTGCTGGAGAGATCCCTGTTTCACAAGGACGAGGCAGGGGAAGGGCAGGCTCCTCAGAACTCCCTGGCCATACGTGTACAACTCTTTCATTTAGAGAGACTGGGTTAACTCTAGTGCCACCCACAGATGAGGTCTGCTCTCAGCAAAACTAAGACAAAAGGTGGAGGGATGAGAAATTCCTCTCTGTGGACCTTTCTGCTACCCCCTCTTCCCTCCACCACAATAAAAACTGACCTGTGGAGTTCTTTGCCCTTCAGACTCTGCGAAGCACTCACAGCTAATATGATTAACACCTTGTTTGGACTGATTCTGTGTCATAATGGCTCAGGGTACACAGTCCCCAGAGAAGGTTGCATTGAGCAGGCCTGTTGTTCCTTCATTCTGTCACTCATTCATTCAATCAAGATCAAATGCCTGCTCTATGGCTAGATGAGAGGTATTTCAGTGTCTTAATAATAATACCAATAGTACTATAAAAATGAAGAAGTGGGAGAAGAGCAGAGATGACAGCAGAGAGGAAGAGAAGAGGGGGAAGAGGGAGAGGATCAAGAAGATAACAGAGCATCTGACTTCATGCCAGCACCCCTGGGACGGACTCTAGGGGACTCTCGGGAGTGGTAGCCATTGCAGTGGGATTGCCACCTGTGGAGCCTTTCCTACCACTGGACGCTGATACAGATTTCCCAAGGCCACTGAGCAACCCTCAAAAAGCTGCCTCCTTCACCCGGGAGTGAGGTTCAGCCTTGTGTTTCTGGAAAGTGCACATGCTGAGGCCCTGAGTTTTCCTGGATTTCTGTCCGACTCTTGGCATGGCCCACCTTTATCTGGGGGAACCTATCTAAAGAGGCTTTGTCTGAGGAAAGCTCCACATGTAACCTGGGCCGCCTGGTAATAACAGAACAACCTGAACAGTACAAGCGGTGGGAAGCGCTGGCTCCACGCAGCCCCATGCGATATGCGTGTGGGAAACCCCAGGCTCTGTGCAGCCCTATGCATCATGCCTGTGGGAAACCCCGGGCTCTGTGCAGCCCTATGCATCATGCGTGTGGGAAACCCCGGGCTCTGCTCATCCCTATGCATCATGCATGTGGGAAACCCCGGGCTCTGCTCATCCCTATGCATCATGCATGTGGGAAGCCCCAGGCTCCCCTCATCCCTATGCATCATGCGTGTGGGAAACCCCGGGACCAGCTCATCCCTATGCGTCATGCGTGTGGGAAACCCCGGGACCAGCTCATCCCTATGCGTCATGCGTGTCGGAAACCCCGGGACCAGCTCATCCCTATGCGTCATGCGTGTGGGAAACCCCGGGACCAGCTCATCCCTATGCGTCATGAGTGTGGGAAGCGCCGGGCTCCGCGCAGCCCCATGCGTTATGCATGTGGACACCATGGCCTTTGGAAGACGGCCTGTAGGCGCCCCCCACTCCAAGAGACTGGTCCCTCGAGAGGACAGAAAGCGCAGCCAGAGGGGTGGCCGGCGCCCCTTCCCCGTAGGCAGGAGGAAGGGCCTCACCAGTAGTAGAGCAGGAAGAGGAAGGTGGGCAGGGAGACTGCCAGCTGCAGCCAGCGCCAGTGAGGCAGGGCGTAGGCCAGCCCGGTAAGCGCCACCAGCCCCACCGTGAAGGCCATCTGGTACATGATCGCCACCGTTCTTCTGGAGCCCGAGCCAACAAATTCTGTGACTGAAACAGGAGGTGTGGACGTTATGCGGGTTCCTTGCAGGAGCCCAGGAGCCCGACGCCGTGCGTTCAGAAGCTCGGGGCCCCAGTCCAGCTTGTCTCCCCGCGGGAAGCTCCCACCCGGCCTTGCCCAGCCTCACCTGCTCCCAGGCTTCTCTCTTGTGTGTCTCCCATTTCTCCTTCCCGCAAACCACAGCCGCGCTCACGCCTCCCCTTCTCTCTGGGGCCCCGGACCCATCAAACCGGGGCCCCGGACCCATCAAACCAAGGCCCCGGAGATCCACCAGGCTGCTTGGCTCTCTGGCTTTTCCCTGACCGTCGCTTTCCGCGTCTGCTCCTTTACCATCTGCACTCCCCTCTGCCTGCTTCAGGACTCAGTCCACTGGCCTCTCCTCCCCAACGCCTTCCTCGAGAAGCTCCAGACTCAGCTGGAATATTTGTCAGGACCCCAGGGGTGTTCATTCATTTAGCAAATATCTTTGAGTGCCTCCTGGGGACCTGGTACTGTGCGGGGTGTCTGAGGCACATCGTTAAGCATAGGAGGTAGAGTCCTGCCCTGGGAGACCTCATTTGGCAGACGCTCCACATCACAGATAAGAGAATGCAATCCTATGTTAGAGCGTGATACGTGTAACGGGAACAAAAATGAAAAGGGGAAAAGGAAGTCAGGGGAGTCGTGGGTGGAGGGGCTGCGGGTGGTGTTGGAGCGTGGATGTGGCCCCGGGTCAGACCCCCCAAACCATGTGTGGGACGGTGCCTAGCAGCAGAGGCTGTCACAGGCTCCACACGCATGGGGCTGAGCCAGCTCAGCTTCACCAGGCTGCTCATGGCTTCTCAAGGCGGGAACGTGGATCCTCTTGGCCCTAGTGAATGAGTTCTCAGAATGCCAAGTGATAGCACCTTGTTTTCAAAGATGAAAAGACAGGCTATTTCTTTTTTCTCCCCCACAAATGAGTAAAAGTGTGGCTCATCCTCACTGCTGGCTGCCGTGCCCTGGCCTGGGGAAGTACAGATGACTCTTAGGCTGCATTCCTCCCGGAAAGGGTTTTTTGTTTTGTATTCTTAACCTTAGAATATTTGAAAGGGAAAAAAAGGCTGATATGTAAAACTCCTCATGTTGGTTTATACTTCAACTTTTTCAAAATCCTGATTTTCACAATCCTTATTTTATTTGCTCCTGTTTTCTTTCCTAATTCTTGAGTGCCATTCAAGCCCGTCAAGTTTGCTGTATTTATTTTAAGGAGTTGCTGGTTCTTTCTTATGTAAAATGCTAGAATATTCTCTCACTTATCTCCTCTTCTGCACCCCATCCTGACTGCTGTGAGCACATCAGCATGGGGTCTTTTTGTTCCCCAAATAGATTAGTTGATTAATAGGTCAGTAATCTAAGTGATAATTTAAGTGTCTCAGACACAAAAAGAGAGGAGGCCATTCTAGCCCATGTCCTGCCCTAGTCACATAAATACAAGGAACTGGTGCCCCGCAAGCTCCTTGACCCCACAAACAACCCCCTACCCACGTTAGGCCCATCCCATTCTACCCTGAGACCTGGCCTCATCCCCATGATAATTACTTAGGGTGTAGCCAGCCATCCAGTTGCCCTTGCTGACCAGGCCCTGCAGCAGGCGGAAGAGCAGCATGGACATGTAGTTGGGCGAGAAGGCCATGAGCACGCCCGACACCGCGTTGACCAGCACAGTTCCCAGGAGACACAGCTTACGGCCAAACCTTCAGAGAGAAGGAGACATGGAGGGCAGGTGGGAGAGGTTGAAATCTGGGGTCAGACATGCATGGTGGGATGCCAAGGGTCACAGTCGGAGGCCACCGCACCACTGTCCTGGGAGACTGCAGGGTCTATCAGGACAGCAGTGCCCAGTGCACCGCCCAGCCTGCTCATCTGTCCCAACAAGCTCCGCAGCCCTTCCGGGTCTGAAGAGGAGTCTGAGCGCTCCCAGCAGCATCACAGCTCAGCCGGGCAGTGCCCGCAGACCCTCTCCAGTTCACGCCTGTCCCCTTGCCTTATCTTCATATTTAGCAGATGGCATCATTATTATCGCCACTGGTCAGGCTGCACCCAAACCAGGCTTCCTTCCTCCCATAGTCTTATCAACCATCATGGAAGCTTTTCAGTGCCATATTCAGCTCTGATAGTGTAGCCATACAGGGCTGTTTCTCTTCTCCTTTTTCCGGGAATGAAATGGGCAAATTACTCGCTGGGATTGCACTGTTCCCACCCAATTTTTTGACCACACCCCATGTTCTCCAAGAGCCAAGGAAAGAAGCCAAGGGCAGACCATGCAGTGTGCCCGCCCACCCACGCTCCCCACCCGCCTGCCGCCCCCGTCCCCTCTGCCACCCCCATCTGCCTCCACTAGGCCACTTCACTTGTCCACCTTGTGTCCCCTGGCCTCAGACCTCCACCCCGCCTCAGGACAGCCCCAAACCGGCCAGTAAACCCTTGCCCTTTGTGAAAACATAGGAACTTCTGCCAGAACCCACGTCTTCTAACCAGGGATGCTCAGCCCCAGTGGCGGCACCTGGCTTCGTCCCCTCTCCCTGTCTCCTGCAGCGGCATCTGGGTCTGTCTCCTCTCCCTGTCTCCTGGGGCAGTGCCTGGCTCTGTCCCCTCTCCCTGTCTCCTGGGGCAGTGACTGGCTCTGTCCTCTCTCCCTGTCTCCTCCAGCGGCACCTGGCTCTGTCCCCTCTCCCTGTCTCCTGCAGTGGCGCCTGGCTCTGTACCCTCTCTGTCTCCTGGGGCAGCACCTGGCTCTGTCCCCTCTCCCTGTCTCCTGCGGCAGCACCTGGCTCTCTGTCCCTTCTCTCTGTCTCCACCTCTGAGCTGGGCCTCAGACCCCCAGCCAGGCCTGGGTTCCCTGGCCCCTGTCTTCTTCCTGCATCCCTGACTCCCTCCCCTATCAGCCTCCTCATCCTGGACCCTCCCCACACTCTTTTAAAGAGTTGTTCACACAACTCCACTCTCCTGCCTTCGGGTTTTCTCCAACCACCCTGTCCTGGGTGCCAGGCCCCCCACAGCAGATTCTGACCACTCCTCCTCGTGGTCTCCTGGTGCATTTCCACAAGCGCCCTGGAGAACAGTTGTCCTTCGATCTCGCTGCCATTTTTCCTGTCTCCTTTCCCAGGGCACTTTCCCTGCCTACCTTTCTGCATTGCAGTTCTCTCTCGACACCCTCTTCCAGCACATCCTGATATGCTGTACAGCCTTAAATACCAACTACTGGTGACAAACCCCCGATATTGAACTCCAGCCCAGACCCCTTTCCAGAGCTCACTCACATACCCAAGTGGCTCCTTGGCATCTCTTCGTAGATGTCTCAGGCCGTGCAACTCATCTCCAAACCTAACATCTCTAAGAGCCCTAGTTTCCTCCATAACCTCTCCCCTATCAACCGCTGCAACAAAATCCCTTCCTAACCCTCTGCATCCCATCTCAAAATGGCCTCACGACCAGGCACCTGCTGGAAGCATCAATCTTGGCTGTGTCCCCGCTTTCTCTCAGCCCACTAACTGTACAATCTGCATGCAGCTTGGACTCTGAAACACACCTCAAATCTCTCCACCACTCCCCTGGTAGCCCCACAGTATCCCAAAGCAGGGGCCACTGTGTCTTGTCTCCAGCAGCTTCTGCAGTTAATTCCAACTGGTCATGTTCTCCACCACTGAGAACAGATTCGCCCTTAGAATCTGTTCTCATGACATTCAGAGGAGGCTTACCTGGACTGGCCTTTACATACCTGTCTGCAAAGTAGCCAACACCGAGAGAGCCAAACAAGAAGCCCGCATTCAAACAGGACTGAAAGAGGTCCAGCTTCCAGGAGTCAGCACACACCAGGTTGAACTGCCAGTCATACCACGGCAAGAGGAGGACGAAAAGCACAGAACCATGTGTGAGTCAGGACTACACCCTTCCATCCTCTCTTCAGCAAAGCAAATGCAGTTCATCAAACTCGGTATCCCTGGGCTGTTTCACAGAGTTTTCTCCTACTACATTTTCATAAGACAAATTCAAAGTTTCTGATGAATCACTCAGCAAATATCAAATGCAACTAACCCTCGAACAACATGGGTTTGAACTGCGCGGGTCCACTTACAGATTTTTTTTTTTCAATAAAATTTACACCGAGTGTGCCTGTCTCTTCTTCTACCTCTTCCACCTTTTCTGCCTCTGCCCTCCAGGACAGCAAGACCAAGCCCTCTTTTCCTCCTCCTCCTTAGCCAACTCCACGTGAAGATGATGAGGGTGAAAACCTTGATGATGATTCACTTCCACTTCGTGATGTTTTTCCACTTCCTTAAGTTTTTCTTAACATTTTCTTTTCTCTAGCTTACTTTATTGTAATAATACAGTGTATAATACATATAACATACAAGATATGTGTTCATTGGCTGTTTATGTGATTGGCAAAGCTTCCTTCCAGTCAATAGTAAGCTATTAGTTGTTAAGTTTCTTGAGATAGACTGTGCCTTATGGTCACATGTGGGTGGGACCAAAGGTTAGGAGGACATCAGAGGCTCCCATGCACCAAAAGCCAGGGGAGGGAAGATATCAAGGTGGAGGGGACAGAGGAAAAGACAGGCATGGGCTGCTGGGAAGGGCTTGTTTTGTTTGGGTTTTTGGAGAAGGCAGATATTCCCTGCGTTTAGAGGCCTTGGGGAAGAAAACCAGGAGTGGAGGGACATCCAAGAGTCCTACCTCCCATAGCACAGAGCATGGTGATGCTGGCACATGCCTAGACATGGTAGAGGCTGGAGGGCAGAAGAATGGCCCCTTCCTCTTTAGAGTTGAGACAGGCAGAAAGAGTGGACTCTGGGGAGAACAGAGGGTGTTGGGTGGAGGCCTCTCGACCCTTTCAGTTCCTGGTACAGCCCCTCCTGGGTGGTCGACACATCCTTCCTGCCCCCGTCCCTCCACACTGCTTTGTCTGCATCAAGTCCATGGCTCCCCTAACCAGAATACTGTGGAGTACGATGGCAGTGAGTCACTTCACAGCCCTGGGCCTCAGTTTCCCTGTCTGAAACGTGTGTTGTACCCATTCCATCACACCCATAGGGCTGCTGGGTGCATTGGAGGGGAGAAATCACATGCAGATAGCTTTAATAAATAATAAACCCTTTTATTTTAGAAACAGGTTTTATTACCCCCACTTCCAACCCTCAAATCTCTAAAGTTGCCAGTTTGAGCCACACCATGCCCCGATCCTGGGGTCAAACATTCAGAACTGGCTTTGTGCAGTGGCTTATGCCTTAATCCCAGCACTTTGGGAGTCTGAGGCAGGAAGATCGTCTGAGCCCAGGAGCTTGAGACCAGGCTGGGGCAACAGAGTGAGGCCTCATCTCTACAAAATATTAAAAAATTAGTCAGACATGGTACCATGTGCCTGTAGTCCCAGCTACTTGGGAGGCTGAGTTGGGAAGATCAATTGAGCCCAGGAGGTTGAGGCTGCAGTGAGCTGTGTTCAAGCCACTGCACTCTACTCTGGATGACAGTGTGAGACCCTGTCTCAAAAACCAAACAACATTCAAAGCCTCAAGGACTCTGAACTCAGCCAGCCTGGGTTCTGTCTGATGGACTGACTAGTTCCTTGACATGAGCACTTTTTTTTTTCCCTGAAATATAGGTTAAACTCTGTGTTACCACCTGAGTTTCAGAAACAAACACAAGCCTCTCCTAGTAACTGCCTTCTGCCCAGACCCCAGTGTCTGCTCCTATGGGTGGTACAGCTCTGGGGCGTGCGACAAGCTACTGCTCAGTGTCACTCTCATGTTTTCTGCCAATCCCAATATTGATTTCCTCTAAAATTCAGCTTAAAACACAGCTTCTCCATGGAGCGCCTCCCAGGTCACCCACCCGATGTATAACTCTTTTTGGCTGTGGTTCTTTTCCTGCCTGCCGTGTGCTCTGCCATTAGAATACACGTGGACACGTCCTTATCTGGCTTTCCCAGGGTTTGTGTCTCCAACTGCCCAACTCTCTCTTTGCAGCCTCACCCGTGGTCTGCCGTACAGGATTTCACTCAAGTTGCAGGGGTCAGGGAAAGATGTGGAATTATTACCTGGGGCCTCGGCTTATTCCCTTCTCAGCCATTGTTTGTCTGGTTTTTATTATAATCTTTGCAAGTTGGTATCTCTGTAAGATGTGCCTGCCGCCTTCCTGAAACACCCTGTTGCCATCATGCCCCAGGACTGTATATGGAACCAGTGAGCTCCTGGAGCTGGAGTGCATCCCACCTTCCAACATCTCATCCACACAGAGAACTGGCTCTGCCCCAGGCTACCCTGAGGATCAGTTTCTAGAGCCACCTGCAAAGCTTGTAAACCTGCCATGCTTCCTCTGCTCCCAAACACCAGCCCAACCATGAGTACCCTGACACATTTGTGCACCTTGAGAAGATAGGCTGGGCCCTGGGAGAAGCTGGGGCTGCATAAAGGTAGGGACGGGATGGAGGATGGGAATCTCCTAAGCCCACTCGCTGCTCCTGCTGGGATTTCACCAGGGCCGGGGCAGCTCTTTCCGGCACGATTATAAAGCAACCTACTGCTTCATCACGAGAACCACACAGGGTCCTGGTGGAACCACAGATTCCCTGTGTATTCTGCCTCAGTGGGTCCCGAATAGGAATCCAGGTGATCCTGAGGATCAGCCAAGTTTGAGAAACACTAATGTAACTACCTCTGTCTCCCTTGGCCTGAGACCACTTTCCCTTGCTCAGCACTCATGGCTGGTGGAAGACAGCTGGCCTGGTGTGGGGGCTGTGGCTGAAACCAAGACTGATAGAGGAGATCCTCTTGTTGGGAGAGTCAAAAGCCAGGAAAATGCCCACATCCCCCCCGAGTGGACCTCATGATCTTAGCACCAGAGGAGATCCTCTTGTTGGGAGAGTCAAAAGCCAGGAAAATGCCCACATCCCTCCCCAGTGGACCTCATGATCTTAGCACCAGAGGAGATCCTCTTGTTGGGAGAGTCAAAAGCCAGGAAAATGCCCACATCCCTCCCTGAGTGGACCTCATGATCTTAGCACCAGAGGAGATCCTCTTGTTGGGAGAGTCAAAAGCCAGGAAAATGCCCACATCCCTCCCGAGTGGACCTCATGATCTTAGCACCAGAGGAGATCCTCTTGTTGGGAGAGTCAAAAGCCAGGAAAATGCCCACATCCCCCCCGAGTGGACCTCATGATCTTAGCACCACAGGAGATCCTCTTGTTGGGAGAGTCAAAAGCCAGGAAACTGCCCACATCCCTCCCCAGTGGACCTCATGATCTTAGCACCAGAGGAGATCCTCTTGTTGGGAGAGTCAAAAGCCAGGAAAATGCCCACATCCCCCCCGAGTGGACCTCATGATCTTAGCACCAGAGGAGATCCTCTTGTTGGGAGAGTCAAAAGCCAGGAAAATGCCCACATACCCCCCGAGTGGACCTCATGATCTTAGCACCAGAGGAGATCCTCTTGTTGGGAGAGTCAAAAGCCAGGAAAATGCCCACATCCCTCCCCGAGTGGACCTCATGATCTTAGCAGCAGAGGAGATCCTCTTGTTGGGAGAGTCAAAAGCCAGGAAAATGCCCACATCCCCCCCAAGTGGACCTCATGATCTTAGCACCAGAGGAGATCCTCTTGTTGGGAGAGTCAAAAGCCAGGAAAATGCCCACATACCCCCCGAGTGGACCTCATGATCTTAGCACCAGAAGAGATCCTCTTGTTGGGAGAGTCAAAAGCCAGGAAAATGCCCACATCCCCCCCGAGTGGACCTCATGATCTTAGCACCAGAGGAGATCCTCTTGTTGGGAGAGTCAAAAGCCAGGAAAATGCCCACATCCCCCCCGAGTGGACCTCATGATCTTAGCACCAGAGGAGATCCTCTTGTTGGGAGAGTCAAAAGCCAGGAAAATGCCCACATCTCCCCCGAGTGGACCTCGTGATCTTAGCACCAGAGGAGATCCTCTTGTTGGGAGAGTCAAAAGCCAGGAAAATGCCCACATCCCCCCCGAGTGGACCTCGTGATCTTAGCACCAGAGGAGATCCTCTTGTTGGGAGAGTCAAAAGCCAGGAAAATGCCCACATCCCCCCCGAGTGGACCTCATGATCTTAGCACCAGAGGAGATCCTCTTGTTGGGAGAGTCAAAAGCCAGGAAAATGCCCACATCCCCCCCGAGTGGACCTCATGATCTTAGCAGAAGAGGAGATCCTCTTGTTGGGAGAGTCAAAAGCCAGGAAAATGCCCACATCCTCCCCGAGTGGACCTCATGATCTTAGCACCAGAGGAGATCCTCTTGTTGGGAGAGTCAAAAGCCAGGAAAATGCCCACATCCCCCCCGAGTGGACCTCGTGATCTTAGCACCAGAGGAGATCCTCTTGTTGGGAGAGTCAAAAGCCAGGAAAATGCCCACATCCCTCCCTGAGTGGACCTCATGATCTTAGCACCAGAGGAGATCCTCTTGTTGGGAAGAGTCAAAAGTCAGGAAAATGCCCACATCCCCCCCGAGTGGACCTCATGATCTTAGCACCAGAGGAGATCCTCTTGTTGGGAGAGTCAAAAGCCAGGAAAATGCCCACATCCCCCCCGAGTGGACCTCATGATCTTAGCACCTAGCCTTGCAGTGGGAGTTAAACTTGGCGTTCGAACAGATTAGCTCACCTTCCCTCCTAAAGCAAGTTCCAATGTCCAAGGCAATGCTAGGTTAAAAATTAGTTCTGCAGAAATGAATAACTAAGATTGATTCCCCAACAATAATTTTCAGTTTTGGAGGAGGAGCTGGGGCCAAGGAAGTTGGGGTTAAAGTGGGAGACAATTCTTACCCACGAGCCAGTTTCTATCACCCTCCCACCTACCCCCAGGCTTCCAATCACCTTGGAAAATCTCCACATGAATCCCACCACCCTCCCAACTTACCACGACCCCAAAAGAACATGGAGTGCTTAGTGTGGGGTTGCCAGGTACAATACAAACCATATCCTCTTCACCATCTCTGCCCATCAGAGTTCCAGGATTCCCACAATCCTCCCCAGGGCTCTACATCTTGGGGTTATTGGAAGCCCCCTCCACAGCTGCCACGGACAGGCAAGCTGTTCTAAAGCACTCTCGGGCCCCTCTCTGTCCCAGCCTCCCCACTTCTGCTGCACCCCAAGGTCCCCTCTTACCAGGCCCCTCTACCTGCCCACATGGCTGCCTCTCCAAGGCTCCCAGTTCAGCGTTCAGAAGCTCCATTTGCCTATACCCCCCAAGCCAGAGCCCTCCGCCAAGCTGGGCCTCCTTCTCCCCAGCCCTGACAATGCTGGCATCTCTTACATCTTGTCTTCCCTTCATTCCCATGACAACCATGTTGGCCAACACTTCTTACCGGGGCTCACTCTTGGCCTCCTCATGCATCTCTCTACCTCTCCTGAAGCCTCCAATCCCACCACCGCCCCTTCCCACCCATTCACGAGTCCAGCTAGGGTCACCTTGCTTGCCTGCCTAAATAAGACCCAAACTCCTTTGTTGGGCACTAAGGTAGCGTTGCCAGGGTTCACAAATAAAAATACAGAATGCCCAGGTAAATTTGAATTTCAGATAAACAACTTTTTTTTTTTTAGGATAAGTATGTTCATGCAATATTTGCATTTCCAGTCTCAGTTATCAGTACCAAATATCATGCAGTATCTGGGAAGTAAGTATCCTATCCAGTTGGATTATCTGAAGTTCAAATGTTCGAGTTTAACTGGGCATCCTGTATTGTACCTGGCAACCCCACACTAAGCACTCCGTGTTCTGGCCCCAAGGTTAGACACCAGTGTTCTCCCCACAACTCCTCATATCATGACCCTCATATCAGTGCTCCTTGCACCCTGAATGCAGCAAACACTCCCTGGGCCCTGAGCCTAGGCTCAAGCTCTCCCCTTGGTCTGGGGATCTACTTCCCCTCCCCTCTACTCCACCTGTCCCCTCTCCTTGCTGGTCCAAATACCAGCTGAGGCTCAGCTCAAAGCCACCTCCTCCCAGAAGACGTCTATGATCAGCTCAGAGCTCAGCAGCTGAGATCTCTACCTTCTTAGAGCCCACCAGTCCCTTTCCGCCCTGCTCATGGCATTCACCACAGGCGGCCTTGGGCTGTCATTAAACGAACACTGGTCTCATTCTTGCCATCCTCTTCCCCTCTCAGTCCCCACAAGACTGCAGACTCCTTGAGGGACCTCACAATCTTCTTCTGCATCTCCCCTGCGGCATCACACCCAGTGCCAGAATAGAGGGAGTATGCCGAACATACTGGGTGGATGTCTGACTGGAGGAATGATCACATCTGATCTCCTCAAAGCAGAGTATGTCTCAGTCCCAGAGAGCAAACACATCCTCATCCTGGTCTGCTTCTAGATTCCCAGTGGGAATGTCAGATGGTTGGAGATCCCTGGAAGGTGGGCTGCCTAACTTGTCATCCATTGTTGGAGGATGCCTTGGAGACAAGATGTCTCTTCAGCATCGTAAAGCCAGTTGCACCGGCACCTGCTCTGCTCCAGGCAAGCAGGTAGAGCAATGCTCAGGCCCAGAGGGGAGGGACCCTAAGCTTTCCTCCAGTAATAGCCCTAAATGTGTCACCGCTGATACCACTCAGGAAAGGGAAAAGAGGAAGAACAGAGACCCAAGAAGTCCGGAGAGCTTGGGCGAGGGTAGTGGGGGCAGACAAGTGGGCAGGACCAGAGGCAGGGAGGGCCCAGTTACCTCTTATTTCAGGGAAGCAGTGCCTGCACCAAAACCACGCCACTGCTCGTTACTAACAGAAGGCCCCTGACGGGCTTTGGCCCACAGCTTCTCCAACCCACCAAGCATCCACACTTGTTACCGTGCAATAGTTTCAAAAGGGCTCATGATGGGAAAAAAATGTGGTGACACTTTTTACTAAAGGATTCTCAAAGCAAAATGCTCAAATAACCAAGTAAACTACTCAAGCAAGGCCCTTTTGAGGCCATCGCCCTATCCCATGGGCCCCATCGGACTGCACGGTGTGACTCAGTTTGGATTTGCTCAGTGCTTTCACAGATCCCAGCTGAAGCTCACACCCCTATGAGGCAGCCGTCATCATCCCTGGTTGACTGATGAGGAAATGAGGCTTAGAGAGGCAGTGACTTACCCAGTGATGCTCAGCTAATAAGGGGCACAGCTGGGATTCCACCAAATATTCTCACTTCCAAGCCAGGGCAATTCCAGGCCACCTCAACACCATCATTGAGGTCAATCGTCATCACTCTTGAGCAGAAGGAGGGGGCCCACAGTACTATTGGTGGGGAAGCGGGACCCAGAGCAAGTTGATAGTTCTGGGAGAAGCCAGTGGGGCAGGCAGAGAGGCTCCTGGTCTCCCAGTCAACTCCCATTCAAGCAACCTGGCAACCTGGCCCCCGACTTGTGCTAGCTGTTCTCTCCTGCCTCAGCTTCCTCCTCAAAGACCCAGAGTTTGTGGTGGATTAAACTAGAGAAGAGAATGCCCCGTGCCTGGGACACAGCCAGACACCCACGAACTGCACAATAAACATAGCCCCCTACCTCTTTCCTGATATGGAACTGAACTTCATAGGATTTGCTTTATATTTCTCCCTGTCCCAGGAACTCCCATGTTACAGAGGCTTTTTTACCTCAGTGACGATGGAAGAGCCGGGCGTGTCATACACCCAGCCATCCTGGCAGGGACCCAGCGGCAGGTGGCTCCTGTTGGTGGCCAGGCTAGCCAGGGGGTCTACACAGCTGAGGGCGCTCTGGTTCCAGTCCACTTCATAGCGCCTGCACTGGCCAAGGAAGGCCTCGCCCGCGGGCCCCAGGCCTGGCACTGTATAGTTCAGCTCCTCCGCAGGGCTCCAGCCACAGCGCTGGCTCAGCTCAGCCACCCCAGGACTCTGGCAGTGGTGGTCAGGTGTGAAACCCAGGAAGACGATGCCCACACAGATGGGCGCAAAGGCAGCCGACAGCAGGCATAAGATGAGGAAGGCTTGCTTCTGGAACCAGCCAGACTCCCCAACCTGCTCCAGAATGTCATCCACGGTGGGCATGATGGCTCAGCATGCTCATGGCCGTGGCCAGACCTGCTCTGGGCTGCAGTGGCCAGGTGCAATGTCTCCCTCAGAGATCTTTGAAAAGGAGTGGTTTGAAATCAGTTTGCTGTCCAAGTGTGAAACATCTGGAAGGCAACCAAGTAGAAATAATCTTTTACCCTATGGTGCTGGTTTCAGGAAAAGGAAGAATGCACGTGGCCATCTGATCAAATCGTTTGCTTTGCCCGGGAGCGAGTCAGTGGGGTCTAAGCCCGAAGAGAATTGAAGTTCAGCCACAGAGCAAGAAGAGGGCAGGAGAGCAGGCCGTGCAAACCTCCTAGTAGCTCCCTCAGGGCTCTTCCAAAAAGAATATCTACTTGTTTTCTAGATGTGATGGTATGAGGCAAGTATTGGGTGACAGCCAGGTACTAGATACTGTATTCGGCTAATTAGTTCTGTGATACCATTTAAGTATTTTTTTTAGTTTTTTTTTCCCATAGGTTTTGAGGGAACAGGTATTATTTGGTTACATGAGCAGGTTCTTTAGTGGTGATTTGTGAGATTTTGGTGCATCCATCTCCCAAGCAGTATACACTGCACCCAATTTGGGTGTTTTAAGCTCCACCTCTTCATTTGTGTGTGTGTATACATGTCTAGATGTGTTTACTTGTATGTACACTTACTGTTATATGTTGTGTCTACCAAATTGGCTTATAAGTAAAAGAGTGTTCATAAATTAAGTAAATAAGTCTAAGCAATTTTCAAATTCACTTAAGTATGACTTTGCTAAATAGGCTGTCTTTTAAATTATCAGTAAAATGAAAATAGAAATGTCTTCAAAATATAGACATGGTCTAAATTATGCAAGTCAGAAACTAGGTTGACTAAATGCTTTAAGGTCATAAACTGCTTTGGCTTTTGAAAATTGTTCAACTTTCCTGCTTTGCAGTTTGGTAGGGCCTGCCCTAGCTATGCTGGAAATAGTTAGACCTCATCTGCACCTAAGTACGTAACTAAAATAACTTACTGGGTATTTCACCAAAATTAACAATTACTAAGAGCTACCATTATAACATGTAGTGATGACTACTGAAAACAGATCTACACGTGAGGTGAGTAAGGAGAGTAAAATGTATCATTAGTAAAATAATATAAGAAGGCATGGGAATGTAAATTTTTGCCTAGTTCAGAGGGTTAAATGATTGTTTTAAATTATATAAGATAAAGCTTAAGGTTCAAACAAGTTATGGAAGGTTTGTAAAAAATTAATCTTGTAAAAGGAATCCTGTGTGTAAACATATTGACTACACTAAAAAGGATATTATTTGGTTTTCCATAAGTTGAACAATGGAATACAAGCACAACAAGGTTTTCTTGAAGCACTTACATGCTGTTTAACAAAAAAAATTTGTAAAAGGTTATAAAAGATTTATAACAATCTCAGTTCATGATCAAACTGATTAAGATTGGATGGATTTCTCTGTAAGGTTTTATTTTTTTTAATTGGGGTTGACATTAATAGACTAATGTAAGGGTAAAATTTGGCTTTCACTTGAACAAGATTTTCATGCAATGAAAGATTTTGTTTTCTTTGTGAATAAGCTACTGACACAAGAAGGGAAGGACAAGAGATCAACAGGACTCCAGGGTCAATAGGGCTCCATAGCTGAGGGGAAGGGAGCTCAGCAGCCTGACATGCTGGCGAAAGGGTAAAAGTTCTTACCAGTCAGACTTTTGGTTTCTCTCTCTGTGCAAACTGGTTGCAGGAACAATAAAAAAATCACTATATTCTCTGCCCCTCCATGAATTCAACTGGCCATTTGGCATGGCTAAAGTTGGATAATAAGAGACTTAAAAGGACTTCTTAAAAAGGAGTGCGATGGTTAAAAGTTAGATTGTTTGGAAAATTAGGTCTTCCCTCTTAGTGACTGAAGGTTTTTGCTTTGAGTCATTTAAATGAATGACTTATAGTAACCAAAAATTCTGTTAAGTGTTTTGAGCCTTTACAGCTTCAAAATTTTCTTTCCTAACCCCTGAGTTTTGGATGCTACAGAAGACACCTGGAGCATCGAAAGGGAGAGGTAAACAGGGTTATTTGACAAGTTTAGTTACATAGGATTACCAAAATAAGGTGTTTGATCTTCAGGTTATATTTTAGTGAAAAATGTTAATGTGTGTTTCAAAATTGTATGGGATTTCTAGATTTCTGATGCCTGAGTTTGTGTTATCAATCATAGCTAGGGTTATTGTGTTAGGTTATTGTAAATCACAGAGGTGACCAGATTTCTTCATCAATTGTGTTTTTGACTATGAATACGCTAGGACATTTTGACATTCACAGACAATTGTTGTCATGTTTTGATCCTCTTCAAGGGATGGATTATAGTCTTCAAATGCAGATTTCTGATAATTTTGGAGATTGTGAATAGGAGTTGACTGGGTGAGCTGAACTAATAGAAGACTGAAGCAATCTTGTTTTGACCTTTTGCTTGGAATACTGTTGATCCTTTATCTTGTTTTTCAGAATCAAGGAAGCTTTTCTTTTGAGCTATTTGTAGCTTTTGACAATTGTGAAGGTGAACCAACTAGTGATATCTGACTACAGCTCAGAAGAAACAAGGGATGGGCCGTTAAACTCCAAATGGTCATGAAAATGGAGCCTCAGATGATGGCTGCCTTGTACTGGATATTCTTAGATAGGTCTCTGAGAGAGACTTGACTGTTGTTTTCCCAAAACAATATCCCTGGTCAGCACGAAGCAGTTAAGAGTGGTCATTGTCCCTACCCTAACAGCAGTTAGGTGTACCTCTTCAGAGGGGGAAATGATGGCAGCAGCAGGGAGGCGTGGCTGGGGCTGAACACTCCACGGAGCTGATGGAAGCCCCACCCTCCTGGGACTGTGGATCCAAGCCTCCTTGTGCTCTTGGAGGGGGCCAGCAGCAGGCCAGATCTGCCTGCCTGGATGCAGCTGCAACCACCTGACCTGTGGCTGCAGACCTGGGCCTCTCACTCCACAGAGCAGGCAGGAGCCAGGGACAAGCAGGAACCCCACCCCTTCTGAGTTGGCAGGGTGGGAGTTCCGTGGATGCAGCTGTGGCTGCCCTCCCAGGCACAAGACCTGGGCATCTCTGCAGCCTGCAACCTCAGGGGCCTGGGAAGGCCTCCCCACTAGTCCCCATCCCAGGCTCAGAAGAGTCTGCTCCCACTGCCTGGCCCCTCTCCCATCCCAGCACCTGCTCCGATCTCAGAGCAGGGTTGGGGTTGAGACCTGGGGCCATGAATGGCAGCAGGAGGCAGACAGAGTCCTGGGAAGAAGGAGGTGTGTCCCTAGTAAGGCCCACCTTCAGGCCAAGAAGGGCCTGAAGGCTGGGGCCTGGGCTGCCAGTCCCGGAAACCAGAGTGGGGACTTGTGGTGCCTCTTCCTAACCCACCCATGGCCACCCACAGAACAACTGGCATGCACTTCCTCCCTTCTGAGGTCCATAAAAGCCCTGGACTCAGCCAGAGCAGGGCAGAGGATAGCTAGAGGATGAAGAGGGCAGAGAGATGATGGGACAACCAGCTGCAGAAAGGAGTACCCTCTCTGCCGATAGCTGGAGATGATGGGACAACCCACAGAGAGGAGCCACATTCTCTGCTGATAGCTGCAGCGACAACCTGCTGGCAGAGAGGAACCACCCTCTCCAGGGCTTCCTCTCTGCTGAGAGCTGCAAACATCAGGATGACCAGTTGCAGAGAGGAGCTACCTCTCCTGGGCCTCCTCTCTACTGAGAACTGAACACTCGACAGATGACCTGCCTAGAAGAGGAGCTACCCAATGCAGGTGTCCTCTGAGCTGTTGTAACACTCAATAGAGCTCATCTTCGTCTTGCTCACCCTTCACTTGTCTATGTCCCTTATTCTTCCTGGACGCAGGACAAGAGCTCATGCAAAGGCACCGTGACCACAGAGGTTTCCAGCCAGAAAATTGACACCTCAAAGGTCCTGTAACAAAGAGACAGTCACCAAAGCTGGGACAGCAGCAGGCATGGGGCACCACAGGACCCCAAAACCAGTCCTACCATCCAAAAAGTGCCTTACAAGGTGGAGGGAAGAGCAGGAGACAAGAAAGAAGACCAGAGGGTGTAGCAGACTGGCTGTCCAGTGGCCCACATATCCTCACCTCTCAGCTGAGTGTGCAGAACCTGTGACTTGCCTGTAACCAATGGAAATGGCAAGTGTCACGGATGACACCTCCATGATCATGCTCCTTAAGATTGTAACATCCACATGGCTGAGAGTCTCTCTCCCCTGCTGGCTGTGATGGAGCCCTGGCCCTGTGGTGGAGGCCCACATGGCAAGGAGCTGTGGGTACCTTCAGCTGGCAACCAGCGGGAAACCAAGACCCTTGGTCCTGAAGTGGGACAGAATGAATCCTGCCGATATCCACTTGAGCTCCAAATCAAATCTTTCTCCAGATGAGCCTTGAGACGAGGCCACCACTGCAGCTAACACCTTGAATGTAACATCCAGCTGCCCTGCAGCTACCCTCCTGACCACAGAGCCCAGGAGACATGGAGTGTGCATGCTTTACGCAGCTCAGTTTGTGGTGACATGGTGTCACGGCAACAGACAAGAAAGCTTCAGGCTCCTGGGAATCCCAGAGCAGCTGCAGGGCTCCTCCCTGCCCCACACTGAGCAGCCCAGCACTCTCCAGCAGGCCCATTGCCTGCACCTTGTCAATGACCCAGATGGCTGTGCTCTCCAGAACCTACCCGAGCTCCTACAGGTGCCACTCACTGCCTCCCCTCCCCTGGGCAGACTCCTCGCTGATGGTGCAATAGCCCAAGTTCCTAGGGAACCTGGGCCAGGGAGTTACCTCTGCACAGGGGTAATGCCCCAGTAGGCTCTGGCTCAGAGTTGCTGATGGAAGGCATCAAAGTGGCGCAAGGTGGAAAACACCCCATCCCTCCCCCATTTTCAGACCTAGGAGTGCATGTGGCATTGGGGGTGAGCCCCTCCACATGCACATAGAAGTACAGATAAACAGAGGCCCATGGTGTCAGGCATACTCTGGATTTCTGAGACTCTCAGCTGAGCCTCAAGCCCAGTAGACCCACTGGCTGATTTGGTCAAAAGCATGCCCCACCTTGGGGGCTGCAGCTCCATAATTCCCACTCCTGGGGGGTTTTCTTCTTTGGAAATGCTCAGCTGCTGCCAAGAGAGGGCTCAAGGGGGCTGCCACCCAGAAGGCTGAGCATGCCCTGGGCAGGAGGGAGGTGGGCCAGAGGCAGACACTCCCCAGCCCAGAGGAAGGTGGTGGCGCACACTCAGTGCTGGCCCTGTTGTGCCCACAACCCTGACACGAGTGTCCTGCATGTGGATGGGAAGCAGCCAGGGTGCAAGGGGCCCACTTTCAGCACACTTTGAGGAGAAACCAGGCCCCTCTGTGGTACCACCTCCCCAGTGGCCTGTCCAGGCCAAGCCTGGTGCCACTGCTCACCTGTTTCATGGAGAAAGCAGCTGCCCCCAACTCTGGGTGCTCAATGGACTCAGGCCTCCTTTCTTTGGCTTGGACTAGGGAGCAAGGGAGCCTGTACCCACCCCTGCATCCTTCCTTTTCCACTGTCTCCCAGCCCCATGGTTTGGGTCCATGAGGGGATGACCAGACATCCCAGGCAATCAAAATTGCAAAGGGGAGATGGGACTGAGGGCCATGGCCAACTGAGAACAAGCCGTTGCCACCATCCTGAGCATCTAGGATGGCAGGCCGGGCTCCTTCTGAGCCCCGTCTCCTGATCTGATGGAACTGCTCACCCCCACGTACTGCAGATGAGAAATGAGAAACGAAGGCCTAAGGGGGCAAGTCATCTGCCCAGAATCACATGCCTGGCTCTATGTCAAGTCTTAATAAATCAACTCACTCAAAGCCCTGTCACCAGGGACTGATTTTCCAAAACTCCCTATGCTGAAATCCTATTCACCTAATGTCCAACTAGACACAAACTCCAGGTGGGCATCTCATCTGTCCTAGGTCTCAGTGCCCCCTAAGGCCAGGGAGGAGAAGGGGATCAAGCCAGCTGCCAGAGCCGGAGCAGAGGCAGGTCTCACCTGGAAACAGAGAGAAGGCAAGAGCTGGGTTTAGGCCCAGATTTGTACATGAATCCAGGTACCTGCCAGTGAAGTGGCTGTCAGCACACAGGGCAGACCAGTCCTGGCCCCAAGGGCCATGATGGAGGTCTGGGGAAGCACATATGTGTGAGAAAATCAGCCATGAATGAGCAAGTCAGTCACTGGGCACTGGGCCTGCTGCCCACCCGATGGTCCCAGGTGCAGAGGGGGCAGCTGCCTGGGGTGGAAACTCCTGCTCCTGCCACTCCCCTCCCCATGGGGCTGTGCTCAGGGCCCCGCAGTGTGTCCTAGGCTTCTGTCCTCCTCAACAGGCCCCCAGGGTTGGCTGTTTCCTGCTTTGTGCCTGTCAGAAGGGGAACGCTGTGCTCCTAGGAACCTGGAACAGATTCTCCCTCACAGTCTCAGAAGGAATCAACCCTGCCAACACCTTGATGTTGGACTCCCAGCCTCCAGAACTGGAAGACATACATTTCTGTTGTTGAAGCCCCTAGTCTGTGGTACTTTATTATGGCAGCCCTCCCAAACAAATCCAGAGATGAGGCCCAGGACCTGCGGGCAGAGCTAACACAGGGAGGCTGACTTCCGGCCATGAGGAGCCCCAGGCCAGGCCTGTCATCCAGGCGGCCCCCACCACATCCACTCACCACCCTGCATGCCCTTGTGGCCCATTATGCTAACTGTTCCTGGGAACTACTGAAAATTTGATGCAGAAAATCCACTCATTTTCCTAACTGTTCAAAAACATGGTCCTGAATGTCTATTTTAGCCCAGGTACCATTGAGAGGTGACAGCGTGCTGGCAGTCCTCACAGCCCTCGCTCGCTCTCGGCACCTCCTCTGCCCGGGCTCCCACTTTGGTGGCACTTGAGGAGCCCTTCAGCCCACCACTGCACTGTGGGAGCCCCTTTCTGGGCTGGCCAAGGCCAGAGCCAGCTCCCTCAGCTTGCAGGGAGGTGTGGAGGGAGAGGCGCGAGCGGGAACTGGGGCTGCGCGCGGCACTTGCGGGCCAGCTGGAATTCCGGGTGGGCGTGGGCTTGGCAGACCCCGCACTCAGAGCAGCCGGCCGGCCCTGCCGGCCCGGGCAATGAGGGGCTTAGCACCCGGGCCAGCAGCTGCGGAGGGTGTACCGGGTCCCCCAGCAGTGCCAGCCCACCGGCGCTGCGCTCGATTTCTCGCCGGGCCTTAGCTGCCTTCCCGCCGGGAAGGGCTCAGGACCTGCAGCCGGCCATGCCTGAGGCTCCCACCCCCTCCCTGGGCTCCTGTGCGGCCTGAGCCTCCCGGATGAGCACCACCCCCTGCTCCACGGAGCCCAGTCCCATCGACCACCCAAGGGCTGAGGAGTGCGGGCGCATGGCAGCTCCACCTGCAGCCCCGGTGTGGGATCCACTGGGTGAAGCCAGCTGGGCTCCTGAGTCTGGTGGGGAAATGGAGAACCTTTATGTTGCTCAGGGATTGTAAATACACCAATCGGCACTCTGTCTCTAGCTCAAGGTTTGTAAACACACCAGTCAGCACCCTGTGTCTAGCTCAGGGTTTGTGAATGCACCAATGGACACTCTGTATCTAGTTACTCTGGTGGGGCCTTGGAGAACCTTTGTGTCCACACTCTGTATCTAGCTAATCTGGTGGGGACGTGGAGAACCTTTGTGTCTAGCTCTGGGATTGTAAACGCACCAATCAGCGCCCTGTCAAAACAGACCACTCAGCTCTACCAATCAGCAGGATGTGGGTGGGGCCAGATAAGAGAATAAAAGCAGGCTGCCCTAGTCAGCAGTGGTAACCCGCTCGGGTCCCCTTCCACACTGTGGAAGCTTTGTTATTTCGCTCTTTGCAATAAATCTTGCTACTGCTCACTCTTTGGGTCCACACTGCTTTTAAGAGCTGTAACACTCACCGCGAAGGTCTGCAGCTTCACTCCTGAGCCAGCGAGACCACGAATCCACCAGAAGGAAGAAACTCCGAACACATCCCAACATCAGAAGGAACAAACTCCAGACTCGCCACCTTAAGAGCTGTAACACTCACCGCGAGGGTCCGCGGCTTCATTCTTGAAGTCAGTGAGACCAAGAACCCACCAATTCCGGACACACCATGGCATGGACACTTGTGATAGGAAGAGAAATGCTCATGCCTTCCTACACGGAACTTTGTAAAGAAGGAAAAAATCCTATTCTGTGTACTCTTCTAAGTTTTCTGCTGGGGCCCCTATAAAAAAAAATTAAAAGATTAATAAGAGAAAAACAAGTTTCTAGCATGTACATCTCATATAGACATGAGAGAAATTCAGGAAACAGCAATTGAAAGATAGGCTTCACGCTCTGGCATACGTACCATCTTCACTAAGAACAATTTATTTGTAGAGAAATGCTGGGACACAGGAAAGTGACTTCAAGCTTCCAGAGACGGCGCTGCAGGAAGGCGTCTGCACCAAGTGGAAAGGTTGGGGTAGAGAAGGCGAGTTAGTGAGGATGGTTACGTGAACACCTCTGCTGCCATCTCCAAGCTGAGCGGTGTCTGGAGCTGTCTTTGTGATTAACTCTTGTTCAGAGAGGGAAGGAGAGACACTTTTGAAAAATGTATGTCTTGCTTTTAGGCAAATACATTTGCTGCTTCTTAACTGCCTCCAGTGCCAAATAATCCTTAGGCTAAAGTAGCATGTTGCAGGTCAGCATGTTCTGGCTTCCTTCAGCTCCGATGGGAGGAATCATGACATGGGGTTCTGCGTACTCTCCCAGAGGCACAGGGCCTTGGGGAGTGCCCAGCATGTATGTGCGCGCATCGTGTGACTGGCAGTGGGAAGGTTGCTGAGTGTGTCTGGGCTAGTTTGCTTAGGCTGCCATAAAGTACCATGGACTGTGTAGTTTAAACAATTTGTGTTCTCATACTTCTGGAGGCTGGGAGTTTGAGATCCAGGTGTGGGCAGGTTTGCTTTCTTCTGAGGCCTCTCTCCTTGGCTTCCAGTTGGCCATGCCTCTGTGTGAGTCTGCGTCCTAATCTCCTCATCTTATAAAGACACATATATTAAATTACATCCCATTCATATGATCTCATTTTAACTTAATTATCTCTTTAAAGACACTATCTCCAAATAAGGTCACATTCTGAAGTACTGGGGTTAGGAGTTCAACATGTGAATTTTGGGGAATATAGTTCAACCCATAGCAATCTACCTCAGCACCCAAAGGTGGGAGGATAGTGTAGGAACAGGTCAGAAGTGTCCGTTCAATGGCTCCAGTATTTCAGCTGCATCAATGCTAAGGTTAACTTGGAGAATTTGACCTGAAGGAGAGAGAAGTCTGTTGGTGGTGTTAAAATTACAGATCATAACACGACAGAACAGACTCTTTGTGGAAGTAAGATGCCAAATTATAAACATGACCTATGGCCATGCCAGGCAAGAGTTAAGTCAGGCACTTAAAAAATAAACTAGGTTCTAACTGCCACAAAGTTTTGTTTTGTTTTCTTTTTCTCTGGCAGCTAAATAAGCAGGGGCCTGGAGATCAGCAATACGGCAACAATTTCAGCTCACCACCTATGGCCAGATGCAGACTAACTGACCCCCTTCTCCACCAGCTGTAACTACAGCTTTAACAAGAGCCTGATTTCAGGGACTTTCTCCTGGTAAAAGACCACCAAGCATGGACTGGTTGTCTAGTTTGCCCAGGCATGCACTGAGGGCGTTCATGTCCCTGCTTCACCTTTTGACACATAAGTCCTAATTGAAATGCATTTAAATGTTAAGTCTCCACCCCAAAGTGATCATGGGGCGTATGTAACAGGAATGTTTACAATGCATGTGCATGTCCCCCTGTCATGAATATTCATAGCTCCCCCCATCACCTGTTGAATATGTATGCTTGGCCAACCCATTCAGCATAAATTCCTGCCTCATCCTTCCCCGTCTCCAAGTACCTGCCTTTGGTCTCTGCTGGATACACTTCCCAGCCTGCCAGGATGGCGATTTTGCAGGCTGAGACCCTTTACAAGAAATAAAGCTTTCCTTTTCAAATTTATGAACCTCATGATTTTAAACTGACAGGGGACAAAGCTGAGGGGAAGAAGTGGGGACTGCTTCTGGGGAGAATGGGGGCTGGAGTGGCATGTACTGATTTTCTCCTAGCCTTCGTAGTCTTTTGGTTTTCGCTTTTATCCAGCTTTACTGAGGTGTAACGGACAGAAAAATTATGTAGAATAACCTTGAATAACCCAGGGATTAGGAGCACAGACCCCACACACAATCGAAAACCCACATAGAACTTTAACTCCCCTAAAACTTAACAACTAGTATTGCCTACTGTTGACCAGAAGCCTTACCAATAACAGAGTCAATTAACACATATTTTCGATGTTGTATGTATTATATACTGTATTCTTACAATAAAATACAGAAAAAGTTTTAAGAAAATCATGAGGAGAAAATATATTTATTATATATTAAGTGGAAGTGGATCATCATAAAGGTCTTCATCCTTGTCTTTACCCTGAGTAGGCTGAGGAGGAGGAGGAGGAAGTGGGGGGTTGGTCTTGCTGTGCCAAGGGTGCCAGAGGTGGAAGAGGTAGAAGAAGGGGCTGACGCATCGGGTGTAACTTTTACAGAAAAAAAAAACCGCATGTAAGTGGACCCACAGAGTTCAAACCTGTATTGTTCAAGGGTCAATTGTATACTTATGTTGTACAACATGATGTTTTGAGATACTTATCATTACAAAATCATTGCCCCAGTCAAGCTAGTTAAACATATCCATCACCTCAAATAATTTCCTTTTATTTGGAGAGGGGAAAGAACACAAGATCTACTCTCTGAAAATTTTAAATACACAAAGCAGTATCATAGTCACCATGCTGCACAGTGGATCTCCAGAATTCATTCATGTTGCATAGCTGAACCTCTGCACCCTTTCACCAACATCTGCTCACTTCCTGCACCCTCTGGCCTTTGGTAACCACCATTCCACTCTCTGCTTCTGAGTCCAACCTTTTTAGATTCCACATATAAGTGAGATCATCTGGTATTTTTCTTTCTGTGTCTGGCTTATTTCACTTAGCATAATGTTCTCTCAGCTCATCCATGTTGTCACAAATGACAGGATTTCCTTCTTCTGCAAGACTTGGTATTCCACTGTGTGTGTGTATACATACATGCATTTTCTTGATCCATCTTTATTTGTCAGTAGACACTGAGGCTTTTTCCCTATCTTGGCTATTGTGAATAATGCTGCAATGAACAGGGGCTGCAGAGATCTCTTCAAGGTACTGACTTCATTTCTTTTGGATATACACCCAGATGTGGGATTCCTGGTAGCTGTTCTTAATTTTTTCAGGAACTTCCTGTTTTCCATAATGGCTATACCAATTTACATTCTCACCAAAGGTGGACAAGTGTTCGCTTTTCTCCACATCCTCACCCACACTTGTTGTCTTTCGTCTGACAGTAGCCATTCTGGCAGGTGTGAGGCAACGTCTCACTGTGTTTATGATGTGCATTTCCCTGATGATCAGCGATGCTGAGCATTTTTTGATATACCTGTTTGGGCCTCACTGCTCATCAACGGTGTGGTCTCATACAGACCACCCACCCAGCATGCTCCGTGGGAGCCTCTGGAAAACAACAGAACCTCGCCACAGAAGGGAATTTCCCAGTGGATGGTCACAGGCCACCAGCTCCCCCAGGGAACACAGGCAAATGTCTAGGAATTGCTGCCTACCTGGAGGCCTGCTGGC
This sequence comes from Homo sapiens, assembly GCF_000001405.40. Classification (NCBI taxonomy): domain Eukaryota; kingdom Metazoa; phylum Chordata; class Mammalia; order Primates; family Hominidae; genus Homo; species Homo sapiens. The sequence goes on along the minus strand of NC_000006.12, from coordinate 160,110,122 downwards.
CATTTTCTATTGTGATTTCACGTGTGGTCAGCAACTCTCCTTTAAAGACTCTGAAAGGTCTCACACCAAGAAAAGCTGTTTCACTTCAATTCAGCATTTCCCAAACTTATTAGAGCTCAGGTCCTTTTCATTTTTTGCAAAACATCTGTTAACAACATACAGAACAAGTGTTCCACGGGGCACACTGCGAAAAATGTTTCTATATGACAATCCATACCTATGCCAACGGGATTTTCTAGTTCAAGTATGATTTTGCAGTTAGACCCAAGGGCCCTCTCCCTAATTGTTCCTGAAGAGCTGAGTCCTAAAGCCGCTGGGTGGGGCAGGGCAAATCAGGCACCCTCCCAGAGGTGGGGCGGGTGAGAAGAGTGACCTCATGTGTCAAGGTCATGGAGGTTACAGAAAGGAGAAACTTTCCAGACAGAAGTAAACCAAATGGCACAATGATCACCTGCAACACGTGACCATCACAGGCTCCTCTACTGAAAAGGGCATCATTGTGACAGCTGTCAACACCGAAACAGCACTAAGGCTTAGCTGGCAGTACCGTCCCCACATATTGTGGTTCTGATGGTGGCACCTTAGTCCTGTGAAGGTCCTCATTTGTAGAAATGTCTGGTGATAGGAGGGAACTTAGTCTCAAATGATTCAGGGAAAAAATAGTTCTTTGTTCTGTAAGTTTGAATGTCTACATGTTGTCTCAAAATGTTTTAAAAGAAAGAAAAATAAAACCCTGAAGCCAAGGGTGAGGTCACAAGTCCTTTCTTGAACCTGACTTCCTGCTTCCTTCCAGGGCTCTGTGCTCCACCCTGTCTCTAGCAACCCACCATCACTTCTTGGTTGTCACCGAGGCCAGCATCCCAAGGCTGCTTTCTCTGGGATGGGGCTGAGTGGCACCAGATGACCTCACCTGGGTTGTGAGCCCCTCATTTTCACTCTCCCAGGTGTGACAACCAATAACCCCATTCACTAGATTGTGTTTCCCTCAAACACTGAGCATCAAAACAACATTATCAATTACTTTTTATTCAATTTGTTTTGCAAACTGGTCAAACTACAAGATAGCATAAAAGGTAAAGAAATACAAATAACTGACCATTCACAGCCTACCTTCAGTCTGTCCCTCTTTAAGAAAAAGACCTGGCTGGGCACGGTGGCTCACGCCTGTAATCCCAGCACTTTCGGAGGCCGAGGCAGGTGGATCATGAGGTCAGGAGATCGAGACCATCCTGGCCAACACGGTGAAACCCTGTCGCTATTAAAAATACAAAAATTAGCCGGGCGTGGCAGTGCGTGCCTTTAATCCCAGCTACTAGGGAGGCTGAGGCAGGAGAATCCCTTGAACCCGGGAGGCAGAGATTGCAGTGAGCCGAGATCATGCCACTGCACTCCAGCCTGGCAACAGAGCGAGACTCCATCTCGAAAGAAAGAGAGAAAGAAAAAGAGAGAGAGAGAAAAGGAAAGAAAGAAAGAGGAAAAAGGAAGGAAAGGAAAGGAATGAAAGGAAGGAAACGAAGGAAAGAAAGACCTGACTTCCTCCCAGAGAGAGCCTCGCAGGCAGTCTGAGGCTTCTCAGCTCAGCACAGCCACAGCTCCCATGCCCAACCTCCCATCTGGTTGCTGAAGCGTCTCCATCTCTTTACTTTCATCTAGACTATCTTGCTCAAAAGCCCAATCTGGCCCTCCTACAGCTCTCAACTGCTTTCAGGACTTCAAACTCCTTACTGTGACAGTCACAACAGGCTCCAAGTTCTGGGCTTGCTTCTGCCTTACCTATCCAACACCCCCAGGCCATACTGTCCCCAACTCAATGTGGCTATCTTGCCGCCTTGCACACAAGCTCACCTGCACCACGACTGCCCGTTGACCCCATTCTCACAGAACAATGTCCAGAACTGACAGCAAGTATGGCTCAAGAGGCCAACTACTAGTCAACAGAGTGGAACCGGAGAAGTAAGAAAGGACATGAGTGTACCTCCCTGAGCCATGGGATTCTTCAGAGTCAGTAAAGGATATTTCCAGAAATCCAGTCTCGTCCATACAACCTCCTGGTGACACACACACTGGCTCCTTGTGACCCGATCGCCAACAGGGGTAAGACCTGTGTACCCATCAGTGCTTTAACTTGTACAATGGATCGGACCAGCCCAAAGTGTTCTTTAATCACCAGGTGGCATCTTAGTCGTGTGAAGGTCCTTGTTTGTAGGAATGCCTGGTGATGGGAAGAAACTTCATCTCAAATGATTCAGGGAAAAAGAGTTCTTTGTCCTGTAAGTTCTAATGTCTATATGTTGTCTCCTGTCTGTATGTCTATATGTTCCTTCCTGAGGAATCATCTCGTGTTACGTATTATTTTAGGGTTGGTGAAGTACAGGCTTCAGATGCTCTTAAAATGTTCATAAGAACCAGATTTCCACTTCACTGTGGATTTCCTTGGTGTGGGGTTTGCCTATTCCATCTTTAGCACCCCAGTTCTTATTCTATGTCTCTGTCATTCATGGACAGTCTCAAGAAAGGGGCACAAAAAATTTTGTTGAAAGGAAGCTAAATACCCAGGTTGTACTCCATCAATAAAATCATTTCTCTGAAAAAGAGTCCAATTCTGATTTGCTGTCACGGGATGTTTTCCTAAAAATATCATCTGTAACAACAGCTGGCAAGTAGTTACTCTTTTTTCAGAGGCTTGGGTTTCTAAGAGTCAAAGCAAATGCACTCAAACGTGTTGTCACTTCTCCTTCCCCACTGACAGCGACATTAGCAGGCAGCCAGTGGTGCAGACAACATGCCTTTTTGCCATCCAGCTTACCAAGGGGATGGGCAGGTCCCTGCATATGCCCCTCCTTACAGAGAGGGCTCCCCATGGTCTTAGCAGGAGGTGGGAATGGCCTGGAGAACAGCCCCCTGGGTAGAATGCCTGAGGACCAGCATCTTTCTTTGGTCATAATGTAAACTTTTAGAAGACCTGACATGTCTTCCTCAGGAGAGGTATTGGAAAGTCCTTAAGAATAACTTTTTTAAAAAGGTAACTCCAATTGGATAATTTAAAAATGAGACGGTTGAGGTTTTTGGACTCTACAGGAAAAAAAAAGGGATGGAGAATAGGATGTTGAGTCTAAGAAGTTTGTTTATAACACTGGAGTAACTTCCTGCTTCCATGCAGGTAGCTCTCAGTCACTGCTGAGTAATTTAAGATGGAAAACTCAGTGAGTTTACTCAAGAGAAAACATCTCCATGTTAGATCAGGTTGCACAAAAAAAAGCTTTATTGACTCACTGGACTCTAAACTCCATGTTCATTGTTTTGATGAACAGGACCACACCCCGAGGTTGGCCTGGAGAAGGTAAAGAAATCGGATCTAGAAAGAGCCAAGGGAAGGCAGATTGGACCCAAAGTTAACACCTACGACCAGGAGACTCTGGAGAAAAATGAAAGTGCTGCCTCATAAAGGGTCAACGAGAACACCAGAGTTAAAACCCAAATTCAGTCACTTAACAGAAAGAAAAGACAGGCAGGCAGATGGGTAACTCGCTCGGGAACGTCTCACTATCAAGGAAAAAATGGTAACACCCAATTAATAATTTATCTTTTATTGAAATTGTTGAATACTTTATATTACAGTAAAGTTGATTGAAAAAAAAATGAAGAGAAAAATCAATTTTAAAAAATACACTCATGTTGAAATCAAACAAGCCAGCCAAACCGGTACAGGCTGAGGGATGCTGCAGGGCGGTTTGCTTCTCAGCAATAGAACACCAGAGTCTATATACAATTCTACAATGCGAGAAAAGTCATTCACTAAACATGGCAGGAAAGGCGCTGCCGCCAGAATAAGAACACCAGCAGCGCCTCCCTCCTCCTCCATGCTGTGACCGCCCGGCCTCCCTCCTCCTCCACGCCATGCCCGCCTGGCCTCCCTCCTCCTCCGCGCTGTACCCGCCCAGCCTCCCTCCAGCATGAGGCCAAGTGCAATGCTAGGGCCGAGGCTCTGGCCCATGATTTTTCATGCAGTTTCTGTAAGTCACACACTGTGCAAATTAAGGCTTCTTATAGGTCGAATGGTTGATCAACACTTTTTTCTTAAAAAAATAAGCACAGTAAAGGTGGTATCATGAGAACCTGAAGAGATGAGACCTATACCCCAAATCTGGAAAAAATTCATTTTCTCTGACACCTCAACTCCACTCACACACACACACACACACACACACACACACACAAACACACAAATCAATCTTTGGGCAGGTTGTTTGAATTCACCAGCCGGCAAAAATACTGACAAATGTGCTCTGTACGCCCAGGCTTGAAGATATCATGCAAAAAGGTGCAGCCATTCCTGACTAAAGGCATAGAACAGGCAAACTCTCCAAAACCTAGGCACTCGGGGACCCTGTGCACGTATGTGTGTGTGTGCTCGCACGCACGTGTGTGTGCCCTTAAGAAACAGAAAGCAAAAGAGAAAAGAGACAGAATGAGCTCCAACTCAGGGGACACATTAATGACCAGTTCAACATCCCGCCGGAAGCTGCCCCATACACTGACAGCCTCACCATCTCAAGATGGACAAACTGGTACATCACACCCCTGCTGGCAGGAAGAAACGGTGGCTGTTTTTTTTTCCTTTTTCTCAAACCTGAGTAATTGTCAAAGTCAATAAATAGGGGGAGAGAATTAAAATGCTAAAATATATCGGGGTCAAATACCCTATCGGGACTAAAGCAGCAAGGGTTTCTTCGAATGCAGCCCTCTGTTTTGAGATGCGTCCGGCCTTATGCTTTTAAATGAGGACTTGGGGCAAAACCCTGGGCACAAGGTACCGCCCTGTGGCCGATCTGAGCCATGCCTTATTCCAATGACTGTAAACAATCAGGAAGGAGTGGGGCCTGACCTCCTTCACCCTCTCCCCCATCACAAAAACTCTTCCCTTTTGAAAGTTTCTGTTAAAGGCAAAATTATAGAAGCATCATCGAGTGGAAGTCTTATTTGGTTGGAGGTGCTTGGCTGTCCCGCGGCTCCGTGCTCCCCTGCAGGCACTGCGGAGTCAGATGTGTAAGAGGTCCTCGTCGCTGTCGTCATGGAAGGACACCAGCTTGGTGGAGCTCACTGTCTTCTGCTGTGCAGAGCTGGACTTCCCTTTCCTCGCCTTCTCACCCCTGACCAGCCCCACCCTATCGTCCTCACGCTCCTGAAGGGCATTGCTCTGTGCGTTTCTCACTGGGTGGGAGCTCTCTGCCCCAGCTCCCCTGCCCGAGTGAACTTTCACCTCTGGGATGGTCAGAACCTCATCCTCACTGTCCTGGTCATCCCCATGCAGGGAGCTGAGGGCTTTCACTGACTTGGTGGTAATATGGCCGTTCTCCTGCCCTTCCTTTCCCTGCCGTGGAGGAGGCAGCTGGATCTCTTCCATCAGCCACTCTGTTTCATTCTCATCTGTCTCTTCTTCCTTATTCACCTGCCAGGGATCAACAGCAGAGACCACGTGAGCCCCCTAAGAGACCCCATTCTGCTCCACCATCCACCACATCAGGGATGCTCTCTGCTGGCACGAGCTGGGGAAGAACTGGCCCACTGTCCTCACAGTCACTGCATCTCCAGTTCCCAGGGAAAGGAAGACGAGGGCTGGCAACACCTTCCTGTTCCTAATGAGACTGCACCAAGGCAGGAGGGTTTGGGAGGGTGGCAGTGGGGTCATTTGGCAGGAGTCTCACAGCCAAGGGTGGGACCAAGCAGAAGGCGTTCGGGATGGCCTGGACCGAAAAGCAGACCAGTGATCCCCCAGCGCAGCTGGGGGAGAAGGGGCTCTTCCGGGCTACTCATAGACTGAAAGGTGCCCACTGCATGGCAGGGGAGGAATGTCAAAGGAGGGACTCCAGTCAAAAGCCTAGTTTTAGAGAGCAATTCATCATTACCCATCGAGACCACAAACATTATGTCCTTTGATCCAGATAATGCCTCTTTTCTGCAAATTTACCTGAAAGAAATCATCCAAATGCTACATGCACAACTATCTTCACTACTGTGTGTGTGTGTGTTTTGTTTTTTTTTTAAAGAACAGCCAAAAACAGTGGAAACAACCTAATTATTAAATACTTCAAGGAAATCAGTTGTAACCACGAGAGAAACTTGAGGGAAAAAAATAACAAAAAAATGTGCTGGCGTAAGTGGCTGAGGCAACGGGTGTTGCTTTCCTTTCTGGATTCCAGTCAGCCTGTGACTGCTTTCCTTGGCACCCCTGATGAGAACGACATGGACAGCGCAGCACAGGGGGCCGGGGAGGCAGGCCTTCAAGAGACTCGCCACAGAAAATTACCTTTGAGTATTTGTAGGACACGTTGGAACTTCTCCTACAGCAAGTGGTCAGCTTACTTATCACTGTTTCCCTATAAAAAAAAAGGAGACAATAATTACTCCAGTGTAGAGAGGGCATGGGCAGGAGCCCCACCCCCGCCAGCCCCACCCCCATCTGCACCACCAGGGGGCTGGTGGTGGCTGCATTTCTCCCACATTCTGAATGACAAATGAGTAGCCGTGACAGGTTATATATACCCTAATGTATTTGTTGTGATTGAGTGGAAAGAAGATGGGCTTTGGAATCCAACAGCAGAGGGCCCTCTAGAGCAACTTAACATTAGGGCAAGGACTTTTTCACATGACTAACAGGACCACACCAGTCCGTCGCCACTAAGCCTGCCCAATGGTGGCTCGCAGAGACAGACATCACATGCCCTTCCCGGCCCAGACCTTCTTCTGCCCCATTCTGCATTTTGGGTGTAGAGGGCCACAATCGGTACTTTTTTTTTTTTTTTGGACAGAGTCTCACTGTGTTGCCCAGGCTAGAGTGCAGTGGTGAGATCTTGGCTCACTGCAACCTCCATGGTTGGTACTTTCTGACCACCTCTCTCATTGGCCTGTGGCTCAGCTGGCAAATGACAGTGGCAGCAGGGAACGCCTGAGCTGGCCAGCTCCTGCCCCCAGGTCAGAGCCACTAACACTGACGCCTGACGTGAAAATCTGCTTGACCGTCACATGGAGAGTCCTTTCACCCAGCAAAGTGGCGCAAAAGGATGGCATCATACCTGGTACATAGCAGGCGCTTAATAAACTCCTGCATTTATGATGTGAGGAGGGCAGAGGGGTCAGCTGCTCAGTGGGAAAAGGCACCCATGAAAGGTGCCGTTTAATGTTCTACTCATCTTTGGACACAAAGGACCACGGTCCTAGAAGCCGCAGGCACGGGTGATGTGCGAGGGCCTCGGCCTTGGTCAGACAGAAATGCAGGCATTTAAAAACCACAACGCTGGGGACTGCTTCCAGAGAGTTTTGGACTAAGAACCTCGAGCCTTCGCTGCTGTAGGGCTTAAAAACAAATAAATAAAACCCCACAAAACTGACCCCAAGATTAGCTATGGGAGGCATGCATCCACCCGCCCCACCTCGCCCTGCCACCCGCTTACCTCCTCTCCTTCTTGTAGAGCAACAGGGCCAGCAGGCAGCAGGTGAGCGCCACCAGCAGCAGGCTGAGCACCGCGCCGACTGCCTGGCTCCGTTCTGACAGCCCCTTGTGCATCTGCCCGTCGTCCCCGGGATTCTCGCTGTCAAAGCCCACCCTGCAAGGACGTCACAGAAAAGGAGCCGTGTCACAGGGTGGTCCTGCTGCCACAGCCACAACCTGAGACCTGAGTCCCCAAGGCAAGAGCAGCTCTGACTTTCCCAACACCATGTGATTCTTACTCCTGCCCAGAAAACAAGGCCACAAGTCCCACTCCACATGGAAGAGGGCTGCAAAAAGTTCCTGATGATGAGTTTGTGGCAGGGTTGTCAGAAAGCAGACAAGAAGGCACTGCTTCCAGCTCCATGAACTATCATTCACCCAAACACAGAGGAGACAGGCAGGAGGGACGCGGCCCCCTCTAGGTGGCCCAATCCACGGCAGGACTAGGCTGGGGCAGAGGCTGTCCCGAAGCACCACACTTCTCTCCAGGGTCAGAGCTCTTTCCTCTCAGAATTTCTTCTGGAAGCAGTGAGCGCAGCCCACCATGAGACACCATCTCCACACGAAAGGGGCCCAGGGGGCCTTAGAAACAGGCCAGGACGGGGCCCAGGGGCGGCCACAGACCAGGGTGGGGCCCAGGGAGCAGCAGAGCCCAGCACAGCCCCCGACGGGTCTCCTCTCTCCAAGCCTGCTCCATCCCAGGAGAAGGCTCTTGAGCACACCAGCTGCCTCACCAGCGGAGTTCACCATTCCCACCCAAGACCCACATGCACACTTGTGGGAAAAAGCAGTGCGTTTCCATGACATCGAACACTCAAGCAGAGTTGGGACAATAATAGAAAATGAGAAACAACCACGGAGACTTCCCTTTGCGCTTAGGGAGCAAGATGACACTCAAGAGTGTAACGACTTGACACTTCTAATCTCTCTGGCCCTCTGTCACTTGGGGCCACACACACAGGAACAGGATCACATAAACAGAAATTCCTCCTGTGCTGCTGGTGATAAGAGGCAACCCCAGCGGGGCGCATCTTGTGCTGCTGAAGATGCCGGCTGCTCAAAGAACTGAGGTTGAGGGCAACAGGCCAACCCGCGGCCCAGCCGCAAGGGCTGCCGCTCTCAAAGTTCAGCTTAAGCCAAACAATCTAAAACATCAGCAAGACAAGAAACCACAGGGACAGCCTGGCGTCCAGTTCTAGGTGGGCCTGCAAGGGTTGACCTCTGCTCAGAAAGAAGCACCACCACACTCCACAGACAGGTCTGAGAGCTATGCAGACCTCTCCCTCCAAGCCAGAAACCCACTCACCCAGAAGCAGCTCCAGCCACTCAGGACCACTCGAAATGCATCCAAGAGACACATCATCACTCAGTTCTAAGCGTATTTTACTTTCTACCTTTGATTTCTTCTTTGGACCATAGATTATTCAGAAGTGAGTTTTAGTCTTCAAACGTATTTCTATTTTTCAGTTGTTTGTTCTTGGTTCCTAACTTAATTGCATCATGTATGTAGTTAATTGCATCAGTCAGAAATCTGCTGACTTAGGCCGAGCACAGTGGCTCATGCCTGTAATCCCAGCACTCTAGGAGGCTGAGGCAGGTGGATCACCTGAGGTCAGGAGTTTGAGACCAGCCTGGCCAACATGGTGAAACCCCATCTCTACTAAAAATACAAAAATTAGCCAGGAGGTAGTGGCACACGCCCATAATCCCAGCTACTCAGGAGGCTGAGGCATGAGAATCACTTGAATCTGGGAAGCAGAGGTTGCAGTGAGCCAAGATCGCACCACTGCACTCCAGCCTGGGCAAAAGAGCAAGTCTCTGTCTCCAAAAAAAAAAAAAAAAAAAAAAAAAAAAAAAAAAAAAAAAAAAAAAAAAAAAAAAAAAAAAAAAAAAAAAAAAAAAAAAAAAAGGGAAATTGCTGACTTGCCTGCTTTGTGGTTAATTTTTGCTAAAGTTTTCTAAGTGTTTGATGTAAGCTTGGGCAAACAGTGTTCTCCCAACGCAGGGAACAGTGTTCTGCGCATGTCTATTAAATCTTGCTTTTCACTGTGCTGTCTCAATCTTCCAAAAAAAGCTTTACTCTTTGTCTACTCAACCCAGCAATCACTAGGCTTGTTTCTTGTGTGTGGTTTTGTCAATTTCTGCTTTACATATCAAGGCTTTTTTATTAGGTAGATGGAAGTTTAGGATTCTTGTATCTTCCTAGGAAATTAGCCCTTTTAAAATTATAATGACCCTCTTTATTCTTTATCCCTAATATTTTTCTTTAATATCCTATTTTATCTTATATTAACATAACTACTGCAGCTTTCTTTCAGATTATTTTCTGGTATATCTTTTCTTCTCCTTTGACTTTGGTCTTTTCTGTATCCTTGTTTTAGGCATGTTCCCTGTAAACAGAGTTGTTTTTGAAATCCAGTTTGACAACTTGTTTTTTAGCTGACAAGTTTAGTCAAGCTATACTTATGATTATAGATATATTTAGATTTATTTCTACCATACTGGGCTGAAATTTCTACTTATCTGATTTTTGTTTTATTTTTCTCCTTGCTTGTCTTCTTTGGGGATTTAAGTATTTTTACTTCTCCTTTTCTTCTCCGCTGTTTTGGAAGTTACATACTATATTTATATTATTTTAGTGGTTATTCTTAAAATACTGGCATGCATACTAAGACAGGAAGTCTAACAGTATGTCTTCCAAACAATTAGGAACTCTACCTTTTCTTCCTTCCTTCATTTCTTTCAAGAAAATGGTTTTACTTTCATATGATGCTATCACTGTAAGAAATTTTAAAAGCTGGGAACTCTGCCACCCCTCTCAGCTTAGACACCACTGTTGTCCAGTACAGTGTGTCCTCATAGGGTCGCTGACAGTTTCCTTCAAACTGCAACCTTCCGTGAAGCGACTATGGGAGGTCCTCGAATGACATCATTTCCTTCAAAACTGTCTCATTATAAAGTTGATGAGGCCGGGCACGGTGGCTCACGCCTGTAATCCCAGCACTTTGGGAGGCTGAGGCAGGCGGATCACAAGATCAGGAGATCGAGATCAACCTGGCTAACACGGTGAAACCCCGTCTCTACTAAAAATACAAAAAAATTAGCCGGGCATGGTAGCGGGCCCCTGTAGTCCCAGTTACTTGGGAGGCTGAGGCAGGAGAATGGCGTGAACCTGGGAGGCAGAGCTTGCAGTGAGCCGAGATCGCGCCACTGCACTCCAGCCTGGGCGAGAGCGAGACTCTGTCTCAAAAAAATAACATAACATAACATAACATAACATAACATAACATAACATAACATAAAGCTGAGGAAAAAAAACTGGTTTCATTATACATCATTTCACATAAAGTTGCAGTTTCCAAGAACCTATCGATGATATAAAGTGAGGATTTAAAGTATTTTAACCTTTCTTGAATTATTTTCTAATACAACAAATTAGCCTCCCCTAAAGCTTTTACAGTCTTTTCTTTGTATCTGCTCTCCTGGTATTTCATAAGTGGGTGGGTCTTGTCATCAATAACTGTGCTGGGCACATAGCCTGCCCCTTCCATCTGTAGATGCCTGTCTTTTAGCTTTGTGTAAATTTTTTGACTTTAATCAAATATTGTGAAAGAACCATTTTTGTAAAGTAGGAGGAAGGTGTAAGACAGCTCTATCTTCATCTACTATTGCAGGAAGTCAACAGATGAGATATAGGATGTTAATTTAAAATACTGAGGTAAATTCCAGAAGAAATAGCTAAAAGAACTAAAAATGGTAATCTATTAGGGCGAACATTGCTACCTGTTTGTTATAGTTACATGATTTTTTTTCCTGAGATCTAGTCTCGCTCTGTCACCCAGGCTGCAGTACAGTGACGCCATCTCGGCTCACTGCAACCTCCACCTTCCAGGTTCAAGCAATTCTCCTGCCTCAGCCTTCTGAGTAGCTGCGATTACAGGTGTGCACCACCACACCTGGCTAATTTTTGTATTTTTAGTAGAGACGGGGTTTCACCATGTTGCCCAGGCTGGTCTAGAACTCCTGACCTCAAGTGATCCGCCCACCTTAGCCTCCCAAAATGTTGGGATTACAAGCGTGAGCCACCGCGTCTGGCCATATTTACATGATTCTACAATGTACAACACTGATAACATTTGGGGAAAAAAAAATCTCAGGCACTATTCCACGTCACCCCCGGGTGGTACCTGCATCCCTCAAAATCCACCATCTGAGTTTTTGCTCTTGGTTTCAACTTCTGTTTCTTTTTTTTAAAGTCCTTATTACCTTGTCAGTGTGTTAAGGGATTTAAACAGCTCCCAATCCTGATGTTCTGAACATCATGAAACCGAGGTTTCCTGGAGAATCTTCCTCTCTGGTTTTAGAGTCAAACACCAAAGCCCTATAAACAGTGCTTTTCCTACTCACAGAAGTCGAACTCTAAACATTCAACATGGACGGGATCCTAGCCTGGCCTGGTCCCTCAAACCCACACAGAAGACCAGCTGCCATGTCAGGAGGCAGGATTCATCTCATGGCAGCTGTAGCCTCTCCATGACAGAGAATGCAGGGAAAGTTCACTTCTGGGTTTTATCTTTTATAAAAATTCACATTTTGCTTCTTTCAGGAAGAACTTCCAGTTTCAATCCTTTCATTTTGTAATGACGTCACCGGAACACCATAAACATTCAAAAGCTGAAAATACCACAAGTGAAATTTCAACCAAAAGCCTCTTTCCCTGACTGTGCAGCTGAGGATCCCTAAGTACACAGGCCTGAACAGCACAGGACAAAGCTGGTTTTTGCTGAGCTCATGTCCACTGTTAAGGGTGGGCAGGGGGAGTGCTGATTTAAGATGTAAAATGTGTGATCTTCATTCCCCCATGACCCCCACCACTGTCGTCTGCTGACTCTACGGTCCCTTTTTCAGGACATGAAGGAAACAATTACATGGCAAGAATTCATGTTCCCCCAATCTTAAAGTCTCAGGACAGAGAATGAAAAGCTTATGTAAAATGGTGGGCCAGGCCGGGCATGGCAGCTCACGCTTGTAATGCCAGCACTTTGGGAGGCCAAGGCAGGCAGATTATCTGAGGTGAGGAGTTCAAGACCAGCCTGGTCAACATGGTGAAACCCCATCTCTACCAAAAATACAAAAATTAGCAGGGCATAATGACACATGCCTGCAATCCCAGCTACTTGGGAGGCTGAGGCAGGAGAATCGTCTGAACCAGGAGGCAGAGGTTGCAACGAGCCAAGACCGCACCACTGCACTCCAGCCTGAGTGACAGAGCAAGAGTCCATCCCAAAAAAATAAAAAATAAAAATAAATATAAATACAATGATGGGTGGGGGTAACATAAGAAGAAAATAAATCCAAGAGGAAAGCAACTGACAACATGTTATTCGTGGCAAAGTATAAAACGGCTGTGGGACACAAGACAACCAATGGAGGTGCCACCTTCCTTCAGAGCAGAAACTGCTCCCTCTGTTCTCATGCTGATTCTCAAAATCTGGAGAGTAAGCTTTTCATTCATTCAAACAAACGTAAAAATACTGCACTCAAATCAAAGTAAAAATACTGCACTCAAATCAAAGTGAAACTTTACCAAACAATCATTTGTATTACGACACAAAAGATGTTCCAGGATTACACAGAGGAGGCACCACCAGTACTTGCCTCCCAGGAGCTAAGGAGAGGGAGGCAGCAATGGGAACAGGGTAGAGGGACAGAGCTGGGGTGCCCTGACTGGACCCTATTCGGGGCATGGTACACACAAAGGAAACAATGGCACTGCTGCTGGGGGTGGTGGGAGGTGACGCAGCCATGGACCAAAAATCAGTGGCAGGATGCTGACAAGCAACGGAGCGGGGCACTGACTATGTGGGGTCCGCTTCTATCATTTTCTCTATTTTTTGGTGCATGTTCTGAATATTTCACAAGAAAACATTGGGGAAAAAACACACATACACTTATTCTTAAGGGAAGATGTGGGGTACAAGTGCTAAGCTTCCGGATGTCATACTCACCCCAGAGGACACACGGCTGAGGTGTACCAAGAGAAGAGGTACTGGCAGTCGGCAGTCTCGTGACTGAACTCGGGGATCCCGTCCTCCACCAGAGGGTCACAGTGGAAGAAGATGGTGGAAGAAACAGACTTGGTCTTATCCTTTCCGCACTTAGAGGAAGAGGCAAACACGACATCGAGATCGCCGTCTGTCAAACGGGAAGGGCACACATGGCATGTCACCATCATTTTTCACGAGCAGACTGAGCTTAGCTCCTTACGGTCTAAAAAGTTTGCAAAGACTTAAAATCAGGCAGAAGAGACTTCATCCCACGTCCCACAGGCACTCTGTTCACAGCTTACGAGGCCACTCGATGCACATGGATAGAGCCCTGCCCTTAGTCAGCATGCAGTAAAGAATTTTTGTTTTGTTTTAACCACGAGTATTTATTGATGGACTGAAGACACAATTTTAATGGAACAATAAGGCACAACCGTGGATTAAAACAGTCTGCTGTACAGCCAAAAGAAGGGAAAAGCTACAATTTTAGGAACTTTAAATATGCAAATCAAGGAGCCTCTGAAGTATCTAACAGATCAGTATCAGATATTCTTCCCTTTCTATATAATTCCTGTATTACATCACTCAATCACAAAGTCCAACTGACACTTCATAAAGAATTCCTCATTCATTTATATTTGAGCCATCCAGCCTGGCTACTCCCCTGTTCTCCACTGTTTTCCATCGCTTTGCAGTGTATTTTTTAGCAATCCCCTTCCTAAAGAATTATGTACACATCTTCAATAGCTTTCCAAAGCAAGGAAACAAGCAAGCAAGCAGCGAGTCAAGAAAGTCAGCCAACGGCAGATATGTGAATGAACAGACTCACAGAGACATACATTAGGATGGCAACAGCCTGATTCACTGAAGTCTAAACTAAGCTGACTTTGGCAGAAAAGTTGCTGTGACTTGCTTAAAGACTTGGAATGCCACCTTAGGTTGTGCTACTAGTGCCAGACCTCTTGTTTCTAAGGGATTAGCAGTGGTCTACACAAGGAGCTGGGAAACCAGTGTAACCAGGGAGCTAATGATACAACAGTCAACGCTTTGGACTTGTATAAGAAGCGGACTATGGCTTCTAGCATTAACATTTGCCAAGTGTAAAATTCATAAAGAATTTTGTGCAAAACTTCAAGACACAGAGAACAATCTTTAAATATTTTGGACTAGGATACATTAGGCACTTCCATAACACTAATCTTTCTAACTTGGAAACGTATAGTGAAAAGCATTCCAGTGCACATAACACTGAGGCATAAACCATGCAGCAGAGGTGTGAATGCAGGAGGCTTCACAGGGTGCGCAGCCTCCTTGTTCAAAAAGCCATGAGAAAGTCCCCAAGCATATTGTCTGAGCAGCCGTTCTGGTGGTAACCGTGTCCCAAGACTAAGCAAATCTGCAGGCATATTGCTACTTTTTGAATAGTCAACACTGCACTAACAAGAGACGCCCCATAGGTACAAAGTTGAGAATCAGAGGCCAGAGGTAGAGTGACGTGGGCAAGCAACCTAAAAGACTTGACTCCACACCTCTCACCAAGGCCACCTTTCAAGAATATCTCCACCCAGCAGCCCTTTGATGACAGAGAAGAGTGCAGAGGATGATCTCATACTCCCGAGAGAAGTGTTGGTTACCAAAAAGCTCCTGGAGAGGCAACATCCCAGAGGGCCTTTTTTTTTTTTTTTTTTTGAGATGGAGTCTCGCTCTGTCGCCCAGGCTGGAGTGTAGTGGCACGATCTTGGCTCACTGCAAGCTCTGCCTCCCAGGTTCACGCCATTCTCCTGCCTCAGCCTCCCGAGTAGCTGGGACTACAGGCACCCGCCACCACGCCCGGCTAATTTTTTGTATTTTTAGTAAAGACGGGGTTTCACCGTGTTAGCCAGGATGGTCTCGATCTCCTGACCTCGTGATCTGCCCACCTCAGCCTCCCACAGTGCTGGGATTACAGGCGTGAGCCACCACGCCCAGCTCCAGAGGGCCTTTTAATAATGAAGGTAGATAAAAACTGCCAGACCACCGAACTATCGAGCCAAGTCAGAAATACAATACCAGGCATAGCTTGGGGTGCCAAGTAGAACAGAGGAGATTCTGAGGCTTCACAAAAAGCAGAAAGACTGCATGACTACGTGAACAGTATGTTGAATGTACACAGAAGTGGGAAGCAAAGGACATATAAAAAGGATGGAGAAGCATGCTGGCAGACTCGCCAGAGGGAAGGCAGCAGGTGCAGTCTACATCCAGTGAAAGAGCTTTGCTGGCTTGTTCCTCGGCAGGATTCCCTATCTTACTTTCTCAGACTGGATGGATGTGTGGCATTCAGCAGCAGAACAGAGGAAGACGATATTTATAAATGAAGAACTGGCGAATGGATACTGAGAAGAAATAGACTGGGTGTACCATTCTGTAACGCCCTGTTTATAGACCAAAAGCAGGTTTGTGTTGACAGAACATATTTGGGGTTGTTATGCAACAGCAGTAGTACTTTGGGAGAAGGGGAATGATGGGGTGGAGGTAGGGCTGGTGGACAGGAGGACTGTCAAGTTCCAGTACTTAAATACTAGACTGCAAGGAATAGTTTGCTGTCTGTCCTTTAGTGAAGAAATCAGATGCTCATTTTCTGTTCTACATCCACCTTCTCCAAAACCTTAGCAAAGTCTGTGATAAAGATATGGCACTGTCCCCATGCTGATCAGCCTCCTGAATGGTCCTGTCTGCGATACTGCCCAGCTGCTTATCTGAGATATTTATTTGGACCATCATGCACAGCACCCTTAACAGCTCATCACGAGAGATCTTGTTATCTTTATCCAAATCATATAGTCGAAAAGCAAACTGCAGTTTGTTGCTTCGGCTGTTGAGTGGTTCAGGTCCATTCACAACTTTGCTCTTTTCATTATCCTCAATGGTTTGGAAATGAGCCAGAGTTTGCAGGAATCCACGGAAGTTTACCTGGTCCTCTCCCTCTGGAAGGAAGGCATTGATGATCCAGTCCCCCACTGGGTTGATGGCAAGTTCTGGAATCCCCTGGAAATCGTCCTGTTCTCTCCTTTGTCCAGGTTGCTGAACCGGCTGTACAGACGTGTGATTTGACTGTGGGAAAAGCCAGTCTCCTTCTTGATCTCCTCAAACTCTTCATCGTGCAGTAAGGTGGAGGCCTGAGACCCCATCACTGTGCCAGGAGCTCCTCCAGGAACAGAAGCAACGGCAACAAGAGGGAAGGCAAGAATTTAACCTTGCCCAAAAAGAGGGCTGGCCTTGCTCCTTGGCTAATGACAGGATACGGAGCAGGGGCTGGCCATGCAGTACCTGAGTGATCAATGGACCAATCCTGCCCATGTCAGAGCCCCGGGAAAAACTCTGGACACCAAGGCTTGGGGAAGCACCTCCGGCTGATGATACTCCATGTGCACTGCCACACGTGGGTGCTGGGAACACAACACATCTGATTCCACGGGAGAGCTGGTGGGAACTCTGCATTCAATTCCCTCCTGGACTCTGCCCTGTGTGCATCTTGGTTGATTTTAACCTGTATCTTTTTGCTGCAGTAAATCATAACTATAAGTGTAACTGCTTCCAGGGAGCTCTGTGAGTTATGGTGAAAGGGTAAATCTGAAGTTGGCTTGGGAACCCCTTCAGTGTGCTGTTGCTGTCAGAAGTGAGGAACCCTTGTGTGGACTCCTTGCATGAACTCTGCTGCTCCCAACCTTTGTCACTGGCTGAAAATCTTTGTGGCTGGTGCTGCTGGGTGCCAGGAATGCAGAGGCGAGAGTGCAGGGTAGGAGACGGACATGTCCACACACAGATGGGGCCCAGAGACAGGCGGTGCGGCTCCGCTCCGGGAGGGCCCCACATTCTCGCTTGGGAGTAGCTGAAGCAGGGGCTGCTGAATGGACTGTTCCACAGGGCTGATGTGGGGAAGCAAACCGCCCAGCAGCTCCACGTCCTGATGAGAGACAGCTCTGCCCTCCCGAAGGAATGGCAAGCCTCAGGAAGAGATAGAAACTTCATTTCTTCATGAAAGATGAAAAGATGTCTTAAAACTAAAGCTACTTCCTGGGGCTGGTGAATGAAGAAAGTGAAAAGGTCTGAAAGGGATTTTATTTACCAAGAATGACTAAATGCGCATGCACAAGCACTCTGAAAGCTGGGGATCCTCAAAGGTCTGCTAGACATACCACTTGTGAACGTGGAGGTCTTATGTGTAACCAGACAAGTGGCCAGTGCTGCGCGATGGAGCGTGAAGACTCCTGCAGACACACCAGCAGTATCACCTGCTATGAGAAGGTGGGCCTTCCCAGGAGGGGCACTGGAGGTAGGTTTGGAATCCTGCAGACACACCAGCGGTGTCACCCTGCTATGAGAAGGTGGGCCTTCCCAGGAGGGGCACTGGAGGTAGGTTTGGAATCCTGCAGACACACCAGCGGTGTCACCCTGCTATGAGAAGGTGGGCCTTCCCAGGAGGGGCACTGGAGGTAGGTTTGGAATCCTGCAGACACACCAGCGGTGTCACCCTGCTATGAGAAGGTGGGCCTTCCCAGGAGGGGCACTAGAAGTAGGTTTGGAAGGATGAGGAAGGTGGGCCAAGGCATTCCAGCACCAAGAGCAGCATATGTAAACCCACCAGGTTACAGGGTGACTTTGGGAACTAGTGAATAACCTGATGGCTGAGGCATGTGTAGGAGCAGCAGCTTGCAAGGCTACCCTGGTACATGGGAGCCTCTCAGACATCTTCAAGCTGTGTCAGAGAGAGCCTAGACTTTCCTTCTCTGCATGATAGGGCCCCTGAAGGCTTCTGAAACAATCCTTCCTTCCTTCCTTTAATCAAGATTTACCGAGCACTGGGAAAGAGGACAGCAAGAGAAGGCACAACCTGTGACATGCAACATCTGATTCTGAATGACTGAAGGATTCACCGAAGTGTGAGGAAGGCAGAGAACAGAGAAACACAGAGTGCTAGCTCCGTGCTGTGGAGTTATGCAAGTGAATGAGGCTGATCAACTTTCCCATCATCAACTCACCCAGAAAGCAGAACATTCACTTTCCCAGTTCTATTCAGGGGCCACAGGTGCTATGAGCAGATGCACCAGGGCGCTGTCTACAATCTGTGACCAGGAGCAGCGATGCTGACCCAGCTTCCCTCCATCAGGTGCTGCCGTCGTGGAGATGCACTCAGCACCAGGGCACGGAGCACCTGCTCCTTCTCGGCGATGCGCTCAGCACCAGGGCACAGAGCACCTGCTCCTTCTCGGCGATGCGCTCAGCACCAGGGCACGGAGCACCTGCTCCTTCTCGGCGATGCGCTCAGCACCAGGGCACGGAGCACCTGCTCCTTCTCGGCGATGCGCTCAGCACCAGGGCACGGAGCACCTGCTCCTTCTCGGCGATGCGCTCAGCACCAGGGCACGGAGCACCTGCTCCTTCTCGGCGATGTGCTCAGCACCAGGGCACGGAGCACCTGCTCCTTCTCGGCGATGTGCTCAGCACCAGGGCACGGAGCACCCGCTCCTTCTCAGCCGCACCAGGGCACAGAGCACCCGCTCCTTCTCAGCGATGCGCTCAGCACCAGGGCACAGAGCACCCGCTCCTTCTCAGCGATGCGCTCAGCACCAGGGCACAGAGCACCCGCTCCTTCTCGGCGATGCGCTCAGCACCAGGGCACGGAGCACCTGCTCCTTCTCGGCGATGAGCTCAGCACCAGGGCACGGAGCACCTGCTCCTTCTCGGCAATGTGCTCAGCACCAGGGCACAGAGCACCTGCTCCTTCTCAGCTATCACTACTCTCCCCTCCCAGAGGACATGATCGGCAGCTCTTTGACATCAGAGCAGGCTGGGGTTTTCTTTAAACACACTTCATTTTTTTTTAAAGAGTTATTACATCCACACACGGTTCAAAAATCAAATTATGAAAGGTATATAGTTAAGACTAGCTGTTCAAAACAAAAGCAGCCTTTCACGATTATGTGAGGGAACAAAGGGCAACACCCTTATTAGTGCCAGTTTAAAACCTTCCTTCACACCCTGGACTCTGCCCTATGTGCGTCCTGGTTGATTTTAACCTACATCCTAACATTTAGGCCAGTTTCCTTTCATCCTTCTTACAAATATAAAATCTCTTACCCTTCTCTAATATTATTTGGCATTCCAAAATAAGGAAGTGTCATGGTTAAAACCAAATCAAAGGCAATTCTGACTGTGCACAGCTCAGCCTCCACCCAACCTCAGAACCACTGGATCAGACCAGGTTTTAGTTTTTTTGTACATTTACTTGATAACTAAGACACAATTTGCCTACAGTGAAATGCTTAGTTCTGACACGTATCGCTCAATCCACTGTCAAGAAATTCATAACAAAGTAAAGAATTAGACCAAGGTTTTTGTTTTAAAAGTGGTCCGAGATTTCAACTGAAGGGAGTTAGTTGAAAATTTTAATCCCCTTCCTTGGAGGAAGTTAAATGTGGAACTTTGTGGGAAGCCACGGATTACCTTGAAGGTAGTACTTGGTCTTGTCAGAGGTTCCAACTTTCCGACTGAAGTGCTGATCGTTGGGCTTCACCTGGCATATGTTGGCTCCAGAGCACGCCGGGTTTCTGGAGCTTGTGATGGAGGAAAGTTGGATCTCATACAGGTAGTTGTCCCCATTGGTCCTCATGTCCCCAGAGGCTCTGAACAGCCTGAAGAGACAGAAAAGATCACAGTGACATGGAAGTCCTTCAAGAAGGCATTCATGACATAAACCCTCAGTCCTCAGAATCACTGCAGGGCCCCAGGATGCTTCCTTTCCTAGGGAAAGGAAGCACGGACACGCTAGGGCAGCACGTCTGTGACCCCACAGCAATTCTGAGGACACCAGTTTCCCTCTCAAGAGGCTTTCTCCCCAACCAGTTCTGGCCTCTGAGTGCTAATCCACCTTCCTCAGGTGCCGTATCCAGCACCACACGGCCCTCGCCCTGTCTGTGCACCTCGGCCACCACCCCCAAGAGCAGCCCCAGTAACACTGCTGAGAAACTTATTTTCTAAACACTGGTAAGCCCAGAAGATTCCTGCTCAAACATGTCAGAAGGCTTCGGCTTCAACCCCTGAGATTATCATGAAGAGAGGGAGAAGGACGGGGGATTTATTTTTACACTCATGAGAATTCACCATCTTTGGTGTTAAAACTTAATGATTGAGTAACGCTTTTCCTCAGTTTAAGCAAAAGATGACGATGACTCCAGCAACAGTAACTAAAACACAGACCTATTTATCCTGCAGTGCTCCCCGATAGGGAAAGAGCGGCATTGCTGGTTTAATTTTGAACACATTTCACAGCTCAGAAGGAAAACGTTTTACTTACTTAAAATAAATATCTCCGAGGCTGAAGCTCTTGCCATTTATAGGGTTGGTGATGGTCCCATTCACCATCTGCACCTCCTGAGGCTTCACGGCGCAGGCAGCCCGGGAGTCCCAGCTGAAGTAGTAAGTGCAGCTGTCGATATCAAACCTAGGAGGAGGGAAGCACAGGCTACAGTCACTTCCCCAGCCAGACATAAGGGAAGACTGCAAAACAATGAACACTGCGGAGCCCTTGAAGCAGCTCACTGGCTTTCAGTCAAGGTGCTGCGAGACTTCAGTTGGGTCCCGAGGCCCCCACTCCCCGGGCTGCGCAGGCCTAGGCAGAATTTCCCGACTCAACACTGACGGCAGCTCGGAGCGAGGGTGGTTATTTTACTCACTTCTTTTCATCACCACAATGGACAGGGAAGATGACTGTGGTGCACACATCAGTAATGTGACAAAGCAGGCAAGCATTCAATATAAATTTTTTAAAATTTGTAAACCGTGCAACATTCAAAACCTGGAAAATTTGCTCCTAGATTTTTAGATTTTTGTTTAAGCTTCTCAGACTCATACATTCATAAATCCTTTGGCAATTTCTGAGTCACCCCTTTTCCAAACTCAGCGTCTGGAAGGAATCAGTTCTGTTCACAAACAGCAGCTCACATGCACCCTCTGTTGGCCAAGCTCTCCCTGGCACCAGATGCAATGTGGCCGGGAAAACTTGAATATAATCCAAGCACATCCCAGGTCCAGATGCAGGTCCCAGCTGCTCGAGGGTCCCAGCCAGGCTGCTTGAACACCTCGGGTGGGACAAATCCACGCCCCTTTGTTTCTACTATGACATTCAAAGGTAGAGGTCAGTTAAGTACTGCTCAGCCAGTGCTAAACCTAGTTCAAGAGACAAGCTAGCCCAGAGAAGTTGCACTGGTCTTGTAACAGTGTCTCAGCACTGTATCTGGAGGTCTTCCCTGCCTGGAGCAGCCCCGCCCAATACAGCACAATCAGCGGCTCTGGCCCTGAGCTCCTAAGACTCAGCCAAAACCTGCCCATGAAAACCCCAAGGAGGAATTCCCTCCAGTATGCTCACTGCACAGTCCCGCTCTGAGCCCCCAGTCTCCTGACCTCTTGAATGCAGGTCTGCCCACCGTCTTTGTACAGGTCAATTCTATCACGGAGGATGCGGTCTTATTTCCACCACACGGATAACCTTTGGAGTACGTGACAACAACTTTGTCACCTGAAACACACAAATGATTGAACTGACATTATTTCTAGTGCATTATAAAAAGCCTCAGGCAGGCGCAGTGGCTCACACCTGTCAATTCCAACACTTTGGGAAACCAAAGAGGGCAGATCACTTGAGGTCAGGAGTTAGAGACCAGCCTGACCAACATGGTGAAACCCCGTCTCTACTAAAAATACAAAAATTATTCGGGCACGGTGGCAGGTGCCTGTAATCCCAGCTACTCAGGAGGCTGAGGCAGGAGAATTGCTTGAACCCGGGAGGCAGAAGTTGCAGTGAGCCAAGATCGAGATGGCGCCATTGCACTCCAGCCTGGGCAACAAGAGCAAAACTCCATCTCAAAAACAAAAACAAAAAACAAACAAACAAAGCTTCAATGTTAGGAGTAAAAATCTGGTTTAAAGGCCAGAAGAAAATAAATTTTGGGCTCCCTAAAGGTTTATCGACCTGTTCTTGCATTCCCACACTCAGGGGTGGTCACCTGGCCCACTGCACAATTGTCACAGCCTAAGACCTGGGGTCAAACCCAAACCCTCCTACTCCCGTACTTTGTGGCCCTGGGTTGCTGAGCTTCTGAGCCTTGAGGGCCTTACCTGCAGAACAGGGCACTGTCCAAAGTGGGCAGGTTTCGGGCATGTATAGAAAGTGCCCAACAAACTCATGTGAACAGTGGGACCCCGGGTAATGGCAGCCTTCATTATCGCTCCAATTGTGTAAACTCTCTCTATCATATTAGGTGCTTTCCTGACAGGTACCCTCATGTGAGCCTCCCAGTAATAACAGAGCACAGAATGGAAAAAGTGAAAAGCCAGAAACAGAAACCAACTGTGGTTTTCTAGGGTCTTCTAGCTTTCAGTCGAGCACTGTCTGCTTTTAAAAGTGACCCATTAAAAGAAAAACCTGAGCCCTCGAACCCGCAGGGTCTGAGAGAAAAGTGAGTACATGCTTTAAGCTGCAGGTATCACTGGGGCAGCATGGCCGCCAGGTTCCAACTCTCAAGCCACCACCAAGAGGCTGCTTGTGGCTGCGCAGGGGGCTGTTCTGGGAACGGTCTGGGCCCAGCCTGGCTGCATGGACAGATGATGTCTCCAGGGCATGGCGCAGGGTGTCCAGGGGAAGCAGGTGCCTTCCACCCTGACCACACACACACAGATCCTTCCAGGCAGGGGCATGCGGTGGAGGCAACATGGGCACAGTGCTCACTTCCCGAGTGTTTTCCACAGGACACAGGCTGAGGTACTGAGGGCTGCTGGATGGTGAGGTGGGAGGTGGGACTCTAGGCTCTCAGGCCTGCCCCAAACTCAAAGCTGCTCCAGCTGAATTTGTTTTAAATATTGGGCTTCTGTGTAAAATTTTGGAAAAAAGAATTCCACTGTTTTACGGAAAATTTTTAAAACTTCTGGCATATGGGATCAAACAAGAAAAAACTTTAATAGTGTAGACAGCCCTTACTGATTGGGCAGGAGGCTCAACCTCCTCGGCTCAGGGGCCCAGCCTGTGAAACGGATGACAACGCTGCCCCATGGAGTGGATGGGGATTAAACATATATTAAGCACAGCTGCTTGAGACATGTTGGTTCTGAAAACAAAAAGTCTACCTCCCACCCCAACAGGGGTCCATTCCCTAAGCGGACAATGGGGGCACCGTGGTTGTCCTTAGATGCTGTCTTGTTGGCGCCAAAGATTAAGAGCTCATTTGGTGTCAGACACCAGATTATTTCTCGTTCCGGTCAGCAGGTGCTCAGGATGCCAAATGCCAGTCCCAGGAGAAAGCATGAGCTCTTCCCGCCAGGCGAGGCTGGACTTGCAAAATGGTGCTCTCCAAATGGAGGTGGCCTGCAGGTCACCGCTAAGAAGTCAGATGATCTAGTTCCATGTCACCCCCTGTGTTCACTACTCTCTTTTGCTCCTCCTGCCTCAAACTTTTAGGAAGCCTTAAGTGTTTTAGTCATTTCAGTTGGCTGAAGTTGGGGAAAGACTAGTCGAATATCCATATATACTGCAAGATTACAGGGGAAAAAGCAACCCTCCACGACCTTCCCTCCTTCCCCCTTCTGGGGCAGTGTGGGAGTGGCAGCAATAACTGACCTCTAAAGCAGTAAGAACCTCCCAGGGAGGGCGGGTCTCAGGCTGGCGGTCTGGGCGCCACTTCCTGTATGGCAGCTCTCCCTCCACCTACCAACCTGCAGAGTCTGTGTGTGATTTTTATCAAGGGTGGCAGTAGTTTTCTCGGAATTCTCTTTCTCCATCTCAACATCTCAAGCTAATCTGAAGTAGCCCTGTGGCTGAATCAGGACAACTCGGGAAACCCCACTCCAGCCTAAGAGGCAAAGGTGAATATTTTCCTTTACTGGTCCCTCCAACAAATCCTAATTGCTCTTACTAAGAAACCTCTATTTTCCTCCTTTAAATAATGAAAGAAAACAACTTTCACTCAGCAACCAAGTACAAGATCAATTTCCCGTGAAAAATTGTTAAGACATTTTACAAAGATGTACCTCTGAACTACCTGTACCAAGTCCTCATGCAACTGTTTGGCTTTCCTAAACAAACACGTGTGTTTATGCCAATTTAGGCACTTGATCTACAGCTAGAACGTGAACTTCAGAGGAACTCTGAACATTCTGAGACTTCCTCCTGGATAGACGCACTTCCCCGAGATAGCCCAACCCCTCTAAACACACAGACTAGGACCTGCAGTCTCATATAATACAAAGCAGCACTTATTTTAATGTGCCAGGAGAGCCAAAATGCCTGTGAGACAGTGACAGGCAATCATATCTGGAGGTTTCCACCAAAGCACATGCTCACTCTCCTTGCCATCCTGAGAACACCCTCACCTTCCCGGTTCAGATGCTGCTCCTTGAACCAAGGACCAGGACCCACAGGCCTTACCTATGACACCCAGCTTCTGCGTGTGAACGAGTCCCAGGACCTGGACGTCACCAGTTGTGGTCCTTCTGCAAATGCTGGCCCTTTCAGAGCAGCCCAGGGGCCCTTTATATATTTTCTGGCACAGATTTATATAGTACCTAGAAAACGACACAAAGGGGCAGGTAAAAGGCATGCAAGTGACGTCTCTGCCCTGACACAGGAGGGCTCTTCACTTTACTTTCAGAGAAAGGTTCTGATAACTAAGGGCTCCATTCCATCACTGAATGTAGCACTAAAATAGCTTTTCCAATTAAAAAAAAAAAGGGCAAAAGAAGTCTTCACTGAAGAAGGGAGCTCACCAACCAGACACACGCGGAGTGGAATGTCCACACCTGCGGCCACCCTGGACACAGCGTGGTACAGTAGAAAGAAGGGCTCCGGGGCTGGGAGAGGCAGTGGCTAGAATCTCGGCAAGTTTCCCACCTCACTTAGAACCACTTAAACCCTGTGAGTCCATGCCCCTGCTCCTCGGTGATGTCTTGCAGGAGCACCTGGCCAAGCGGGCGCTCCCCACGCAGAGTGGTCAGGACCATGGGCTGACCCCAGCCAGCAAAGCCTAAGGAGCTCCTGCCAAAGACCCGAGAAAACCCACACGCCTCCCACAACCTGAGCTACACACAAACGCAAATCAAACCCAGCCTAACTCAGTCCGCCCAGGTTCTTCCAGCTCCAGAGGCTCCGTTTCCAGTCACCAAAGCTCCTGCCCCCACTCTGACCTCAGAACCACCCTCTGTGCCAGGATTGACACTGCGGGCTGCTTCCAGGAACAGTCACAACTCAACCACCATCAGCCTCACATGGGCATAGTATTCCCATCTTGAGAACCCAAAAGAGCCAACCATCGTCAAGCAGTCTGAAGTTCACATGCTGAGGGTGTGGCGCCGCGGGTGGACTGGGAAGGCACTCACGAGACTCCGTTGTGGACGAGGGACCAGGACCCGGTGAGAGAGGAGAGCAGCCGCAGGTCGTAGGTTTTGTGTTTCTGGACGAATTTGCACTCCAACTTCTTTGGAGGGCAGACAACTTTTGTTTTCCACTCAAATGTCACATCACACCCACGCACTTCACTGAAGACTTGTGGCCTCCCAATGTCCTCATCTTCATCACACTTAAATATGATGCTGGATGTCCGGTAGCTGTTTGCTGGGGAGTGTAGGGAAAAGAGAGAGAGATCAGACTGTCACTGTGTCTATGCAGAAAGGGAAGACATAAGAGACTCCATTTTGAAAAAGCCCTGTACTTTAAACAATTGCTTTGCTGAGATGTTGTTAATTTGTAGCTTTGCCCCAGCCACTCTGCCCCAGCCACTTTGACCCAACTTGGAGCTCACAAAAATATGTGTTGTATAAAATTAAGGTTTAAGGGATCTAGGGCTGTGAAGGACGTGCCTTGTTAACAAAATGTTTATAAGCAGTATACTCGGTAAAAGTCATTGCCATTCTCTAGTCTCAATAAACCAGGGGCACAATGCACTGCGGAAGGCCGCAGGGACCTCTGCCCTGGAAAGCTCGGTATTGTCCAAGGTTTCTCCCCATGTGATAGTCTGAAATATGGCCTCGTGGGATGAGAAAGACCTGACTGTCCCCCAGCCTGACACCCGTAAAGGGTCTGTGCTGAGGTGGATTAGTAAAAGAGGAAAGCCTCTTGCAGGTGAGATGGAGGAAGGCCACTTTCTCCTGCTTGCCCCTGGGAACTGAATGTCTCGGTATAAAACCCGATTGTACATTTGTTCAACTCTGAGATAGGAGAAAAGCTGCCCTGTGGCGGGAGGCGAGACACGTTTGCAGTAATGCTGCCTTGTTATTCTTTACTCCGCTGAGATGTTTGGGTGGGGAGAAACATAAATTTGGCCTATGTGCATGTCCAGGCATAGTACCATCCCTTAAACTTAATTATGATATAGATTCTTTTGCTCACATGTTTTTTGTTGACCTTCTCCTTATCATCACCCTGCTCTCCTACTACATTCCTTTTTTGCTAAAATAATGAAAATAATAATCAATAAAAACTGAGGGAACTCAGAGGCCGATGCCGGTGCAGGTCCTTGGTGTGCTGAGTGCCGGTCCCCTGGGCCCACTGTTGTTTCTCTATACTTTGTCTCTGTGTCTTATTTCTTTTCTCAGTCTCTCATCCCACCCGACTAGAAATACCCACAAGTGTGGAGGGGCAGGCCACCCCTTCAGGGGAGCAGAGGCGGGAGAATGTCAGACCAAGGCCTGCACCAGGGCACGTTCCTGCACGCCTTCCCCATGCTGCCTCAGGAGCACCTGCAGACTCCATCCGCCATCTGGCAACACACCACGTGCTGCCCTGGCCACATCTCATGTTGATTCACTCATGTGTATCCTGACTCCAAATAGACCCAGCTCCTTGGCACACAGCCTTTCATCGTACTTCTTAATAACCCCACAGCCCTAGGTGATTCCTCACACGGGTATTCAATATTTGACCAATCTACTAATGATCACGAAAAAAAATAAGATAGCTGGGCGCGGTGGCTCACGCCTGTAATCCCAGCACTCTGGGAGGCCGAGGTGGGCGGATCATGAGGTCAGCAGTTGGAGACCAGCCTGACCAACATGGTGAAATCCCATCTCTACCAAAAATACAAAAAAATTAGCTGGGTGAGGTGGCGGGCCCCTGTAATCCCAGCTACTTGGGAGGCTGAGGCAGGAGTATCACTTGAAACCAGAAGGTGGAGCTTGCAGTGAGCCAAGACTGCACCACTGCACTCTAGCCTGGGCAACAAGAGCAAAACTCCATCTCAAAAAAAAAAAAAATTTAAGATAATAATGTAATACCTACAAGTACTTGAAAACAGGAGTGTGATTCAGAAAATAGGGAATAACGTTTTGTCAAAATAAGCCTCAAAACAAAGCTATAGCAATCCTTCGTAAATTTAACACGTTTGGTTCCTTAATACATCCCATTTTGGTCCCTGGACTATTGCGGGAAGTCAGGGACCATGAACGGAGGGACCTGCTGAAGCCGTGACAGAAGAATATACATTGTGAAGATTTCATGGACATTTATCACTTCCCCAATCAATATTATAATTTCCTATGCCTGTCTTTACTTTAATCTCTTAATCCCATCATCTTCGTAAGCTGAGGATGTATGTCGCCTCAGGACCCTGTGATGATTGCATTAACTGCACAAATTGTTCGTAAAGCATGTGTGTTTGAACAATATGAAATCTGGGCACCTTAAGAACAGGATAACAGTGATTTTCAAGGAACAAGTGAGATAACCTTAAAGTCTGGCTGACTGTGGGCCGGTGAGGACAGAGCCATATTTCTCTTATTACCGAAAACGGGTAAGAGAAATATCGCTGAATTCTTTCCCCAGTAAGGAATTTTAATAATTAACAGCCCTGGGAAAAGAATGCATTCCCGGGAGGAAGGCAGGGGCGCCTCTTAAATGGCCACTCTAGGGGTGTCTGCCTTATGCAGTTGCAGATAAGGGATGAAACACGCCCTGGCCTCCTGCAGCGCCCCCAGGCTTGCTAGGATTTGGAAATTCCAGCCTGGCGAATTCTAGTTAAACCGGTTCTCTGCTCTTGAACCCTCACAATGTGTGCACAGTGGGACATGGAAGTTATTTAGTGATTCTAGTTTCGCGCTGACCTTGTGATCCTGCCCTGACCTTCTGCCTTGTGACCTCTTGTCATCCTTGAAGCATGTGATCTCCATGACCCACACCCTATTCGTACACTCCCTCCCCTTTGAAAATTGCTAATAAAAACTTGCTGGTTTTGCGGCTCGGGGGCATCACAGAACCTGCCAACATGTAATGTCTCCCCCGGACACCAGCTTTAAAATTTCTCTCTTTTGTACTCTTTCCCCTTATTTCTCAGACCGGCCAACACTTAGGGAAATAGAAAAGAACCTACGTTGAAAAATCGGGGGCTGGTTCCCCCGATACTGGACATTTATGAAAATTAGTAATTTTTCTTTTTTTTTTTTTTGAGACCGAGTCTCACTCTGTCACCCAGGCTGGAGTGAAGTGGCATGATCTCGGCTCACTGCAAGCTCCGCCTCCCGGGTACACACCATCCTCCTGCCTCAGCCTCCCCAGTAGCTGGGACTACAGGCGCCCGCCACCACGCCCAGCTAATTTTTTTTTTTTTTTGTATTTTTAGTAGAGACGGGGTTTCACCATGCTAGCCAGGATGGTCTCAATCTCCTGACCTCGTGATCCACCCGCCTCAGCCTCCCAAAGTGCTGGGATTACAGGCGTGAGCCACCGCGCCTGGCCAAAAATTAGTAATTTTTCATGCATTTCCCTCATCTCACGGTCCGTAGACACAAGTCACAGCAGTTGGCTCCTCTCATGAAACTTCCTGAGCACCGCAGGGGCAAGGCACTGAGTGTGGCTCACCAAGAAACCTCCATCCCCACCTGGGCTGCCACATGGCGGAAAGTCAATAAATGAGTCGCCTGGTTTACCGGAATCCTCACTAGCTTCAGAATCCTGAAGACCCATAGCAGACATTCATTTTCCTGAGGCATAATCTGAACCACCAGGGCTAAAACCTGGTATGTGGACACAAGGCCCTCCAGCTAGTGAGTGGGCCTAGCCAGCCACCCAGCACAGCATCTCACGGCAGCTCTACCACGGTCTGTAGATACGGTTACCCAGCAATCCCACAGAGCAATTCAAACGTTTCTCTGTGGGAAACAGCCCGAGTAAGAAAATATTTTATGCAAGAGAATTCCTGCCACTGACTGGGGCATCCACAAAGGTCTCAGTGTGAATCGAGCCTTGACAGTATCAAGGCCCCAGGCCATGTGGGGACGCGGAGCCGTCCTACTCACAGTGTCTGCAGAAGCCCCACTCGTGGTCTCTGTCGTAGTCCGCAGTTGTGCTACACCACAGCTTCGCCCTGCTCTCTATGATGCACTCCTCGTAGCTCTTCCCATTGAATATGAAGGGGAAGACACAGGGGACGCCGTCATCGGTTTCTGGAAAGAAGAAGAACATTATCAGTGTGGCAGCTGTGCCTCGCCAGGCACAATCACCTCAGAATGCAGCAGCAGTCCCTAAGGAAGCTGCCCATCCTAAAGCACCTACGTGACAACCGGCATTCACCTGCCAAAACTCACCAGGCAACTGAGAGAACACAGCGTGATTCACACACCAGCATTCACACCGGGGGTGTACAGAGGAACAGCTCACATTCACGCCCAAGGTTACAGCACTCATAGGACCGTGGAGCTCCACTCCGCAGCTTCTTTCTGCTGCTATGTCTAATTTCTAGTTTACTATGAGCTTGAAGTTTATTTACCTCATTGCAAATATTTACCTGGAGGGCAACGATCACCATTCACGTAACTTAAAACGACCGCTTCATCCTGGTGCCTGTAATCCAGTTTCATTGATTGCAGCCGTCCAAAGGATGCCCCCTTGGTGCCTGAGAGCAGACAGACTCCTCCGTCCTTACAGCCTCCTTGTTCTGGCCCGACTGCAAAGGTGCACACCCCAACGCTGTAGGTGCGCGAGTCGCGAGTCACCTGGACAAAAACCATGCGTGGCCGTCAGCAGAGTGGCAGCACCCAGGTCTCAAAGTGAAGAGAGAACCACTATTGCAGCTGATGCTGGAGGCAGGTTCATGAGGAAGAGCAAAGACTCCTCTGTGTGCATCAGAGCCACGCAATCGCCTTGGCCCTAGGCTTTCCCTGGGGGGCCTCCCCCAACCCCTAGGCCCAGCTTGCTTGCTCCTCCTGCTCCCTGCTGGGGGCCTCGGCCACCCCTGCCAGCCAGCCACTGCTCTGGCTGTCGTCTCCAGTCAGAGCCCAGTGAGAAGGGACCCAGCAGTGGGGTCACCCCACCTCCCTCACCTGTGTAATAAGACATTGTGCGGGCCAAGTGAGTGAATGAGCAGAGCCGACGCTGCACGCTGAAGCATGGACCTGACTCTCCTGGCCCACCCAGCGCCCAGAAGGCTCACACCTACTGCACACCTGTCGGGAGGACCTGTACCCAGGCAGAGGGCTCCATCACAGGAGCCAGGGTGTTGACACCTGGGCCCAAAACTCCAGGCTCATCACTCACCAGCCGCCGTGCCACAGCAGGTGCTGGGGTTCCGTACCCCAGTCCAGGCACTGGCATGGTAACATCTAGATATCTAGGCTTAGGGAGTCAGGGGCCCCCAGGCACCAGTGACCACGACACCACATCAGTAAGACCAGCAGCCCAAAGAATCAGCACACGCCAGGGCTCTGGCATGGCATGGAGGCACATGCCCAAGTGCCTCTCAATTCCAGGGCACCTCCTACCTCCCTCTTCCCAAAGCTGCCACAATCAGCAAACAACTGCCTTGATCATCTTCAACCAGGTTGGAGGAATTAAATCCCTGTAGATTTCAGCCACCCAGGAGCTGGCCCTGTCCCCATGGATACCTTACATTCATGTCTCCGGGCTGCCCCACCTGCCCTCTGTCTGATACAAAGGGTCCCACTACCCGCCTCATGAGGTTACTTATCATCAAAAAGCGTTAAGTGCAGAGCCATGAGGTACAACGCAAGTGTCAGCTGCGCTGAGTTGGCCACGCAATCCAAGAACCTTCCTGAGACCTGGCATGCCCTACGAGAGCACCAAGATGCTGCCCAGTGGCCACATACACCCTCTCAGCTCACAGGTACCACATTATCCAAAACACTCCCAGCAGCCTCACAGCACCTGGCACCTGGTACACCTGCACCAGCAACGCCCAGGGTGAACGCATTACCTTAAAGGTGCTCGTGGAAAGGCTGGACAAGTTGAAGCTGTAGAGGAGCTGCTCATCTGTCAGGGTACAGCCATCCATCCTCACTTCATCAGGACAGACGACAGGAGTCTCCCATTCGAACACAAAGTCGCACTCGCTGGTCCTTAACAGCTTAGGCGTTCCCTGTTGCCAGGAAGAGCACGGGTCTTAAAAACCCCATGGCATAGGGATAGATAGCAGTGACACACCACGTCCCTACAGGGGCTGTGCATAACCCACAGCGGCCTCTCAGAGGGAAGGGATGCTAGACAACAGCAGCTGAAAGACCCAATGCCATCTTCAAGGCACAGACATCACCCTGCCCTTGCCCCCTACACATCCTGTGAGCTCCCTGGCTGAATCCAGGTCTTGTCTTCTACTTAGAGAGAAAGCCTCAATGTTCTGTGCTACGGGTTCAAAGGAAGAAAGGGGGAGGGCTTATATGTCATGAGAGAGGTCTGTGAAACTGAGACCCTGCCTCACAAGTGCTCCAATCTACTGTCTCTAGACACGGGAGACATTTATTCAAGGGGCAAGATGCCACATGGCCAGATATTCCATAGGCCAAGTATTGTAGAATCACTTTATTTATTCCCTCCCTCATTCAACAGCAACAAAAAAAGATGAGGCAGCTCTCAGGAATTCCATTTGTAATTAATGTTAAGCATCTTTTTCCCTATGATTCAGTGGTAAAAGTACTTCCATTGAAAATGAAAACTGCTGGGGAAGAAAAATCTTCTAAAAATCTTTCTGGAACGCTAGAACACACATTCAGCATAAGATGCTTCATTTCTAAAATCAAGTAAACACTAATCACCCTCAATGTGCAGCTGCTGAGAATTAACTAAAATCACATTAGCTAATTCGATTTGTCACGTTGGCAGCAGAGTCAAAGCAAGGCATAGTTCCACACTCTTTAGCTGGTGGTGTAGATAACAAAGCATCACTCATGATGAGGTGGGTCTTAGAAGTGAAGACTGTCCTTTAAAGAACGAAGAACTTAATGCAGAAGCCCCCCGCAAGGCAAAATCCACGTTGCCCCATGCTGTGTGCATCTACAGAGGCACACCCAGACACCCCTATAAAAATATGCCAATACGCTTATAAACAGATGCAATGGGTGGACTGAATACAGCTCTGCCTTTCCTTACTAACTAGGACTGTCACTACACTCTAAGATTCATGAACACATCCAAGGGCTTTGAGGTGCTCTGGGCCCCTGTGGAGTAGCCCCAAACAGCAGGACTGTTTCCTCCTCCTTCTCAAATACTGTCTCTCTCACTGGTCAGGCGGCTGCCAGGTCACTTTCTGTCACTGTCAGCACACCCATGTCTAACAGTCCCTTTACAAACCTGCTCCAGGCCCAAACATCAGAAGGATGTCTTTATCAGAATTACAAGACACCCAACAGATCCTAATCCATCACCTGAACTCCTAGGGGTCAGATGAGCCTTGGAATCCAACATCTTTATTAGGATTTTAAGAGGCAATTCTCACACCCCCAGATCCTGTGATCAAACATATTAATATTTCTGCAGCTAGATGTATCAATATCCACATTAGGTGGGACAAATCCACACCATAAATAGCCTCAGTCCATTCATGTCAAAGGAGCCCCAAGTTTTCAGAGCTTCAGAGATTTCAGAAGCACAGACGACAGGCTGTGGTGCTGTGTCCCTGGAGCAAAGAGCTGTTCCCCTGTGCAGTAGCTGGGACCTGGCTCTGCCCCTGCAGAGCTACTCTGAGTCCCTGTGGAATAGGGGCCATAATCTACCAATTTATCTCACAGAGCAGGGATCAAAAGAAAACGTCCTCAAAGACTATAACCAATACCGAACTCATTATAATGGAAGCTGGTATTCTTTTTTTAATGCACATAAAATGGAAGTCAATACCTCATTATAAGTAAAAGGTGCCACTTTGTTGTAGCTATTCTGATTCCAGGGGTCTTTTGTTACTTGTTAACTTCTGGGCTATGTCCTGAGTGACTATAGCTGCCCAAATGTCTTTCTGACTTCCCAGTTAGAATAAAATCAGTAATTGTTAAAGTAAAAACAAAAGTTATGACACTTTTATGCATCAGCAGTCAAAGCTGAATGTCATTTCTATACTTGTGTTCTATGTTTTTAAATTACAGCAAGTTTCTATATGCTGTTAACTGCGGGGGAGCTCACTCAGCCCTCAATCAGTGGTTTAAATTATTCAGACACACTACTAGCGTACCATCTTACCCAAGGCAGACATTTTGAATAAGAGTATCCTTGGACCTGACACGCACTTTCTGGTTGTCTAGCCTTGGCTCACTAACCCGCAGTTGAGCATCTAGATCGTCACAGGCCCACACTTACCATGCTCACACCTCTCTTACAGTGAAACGCGATGAGCGAGGTGTAGTTGAAATGCTTGTCCGCTAAGCAAGGAGTACTGCTTTCAAAATTCAAGTAAATCTCATTTGCTATTGGATTGAGTATTGGTGGTCCTGCTACCCGGCCGATATCCTAAACAAAGAGCGAGGGCAAACAGTATTTCAGGAAATTAACCATTCCCAAGGTTAGTGGAATTAAGAATTGATACAGAATTGCAAAAACCAGACCTCATAGGTTCTGAGAATGAGCAGCATCTAAAGAAACTGGGTTTATACCAACTCCAGTTGGAAGGCTTGACAGATGCTGTGTAACCTCCGTATGTCAGTGGTTATCGTTTTGATCCTAACGTTAGTTCTAAGGTTGGTTCTATTTCTAGGTATCTTCAATTTTCAAAGATCCTAAGCAATAGGAATCTCTCCAGTCACATCAAGGAGACTACAGAGTCCTCCCATCAGCTGATGAGGGAAGCCCGGAACCTGAAAAACCTCTAAGGATGCTACACGGTCCTCCCACCACCTGACAGGGGAAGGCCGGAACCTCCATGCTGACCTGCCACCCTCACTGCCCAGTGCTGCCCCGGGACTGCCCACTGACGTGGCCCAGCAGTAACCACTGGCTATGTCCTTGGGAGAGGGGACAGGAGGTGTTCACTGTTCATTTTCATTGCTTAGCACAGCACCTGGCACACAGCGGCTGCCCAAGAGATATTTTTGAGTGAATAAACAAATAAATAAAAGACCAGTCTGAGTATTATGAGAAAAAAAACAAAAAACTCTTTTTTTATTTTTAAAAAGTAAATAAAGGTGAATGGCCAGGAACTGTGTATGTGATGAATGTGTGTGTGCATGCACGTGTGTGTGCATGTGGGTGTGAGTGTGTGTATAAGCAGCTTCCCCATGATTTTGTTCTCAGCTACAGTGCTCTTCATTCACCACTGTGGGGCACGTTCAGACCACGTGGCACCACACCTTCTCCAGTTAAATAACTTTCTACATCTTTTAACATTTGACAATGGGTGGCCAGGCAATGATTCCCGATCGAGGATCCCCGGTCTGCGCTGTCAGAAAGGACGCTACCAAAGAGCTTCCTGGGGAGACTCAGCTTGTCCAGGCCTCCATCTCACACAGAGCTGGAGCTGTGCTAATTCAGGCTGTGGCCGATCTCCTTACACACTCCTGACATCTCCCCATATCACTGCCACATATAATGGCCATCTTTCTAAAGGACATCTAGATATGTTACAAGAGGATCCATCTTTAAAGCATAATAGATGATACAGACAGAAATACAGACGACTTGTGAGATACATTCAAATATTAAAACATACCAAGGATTTGACAAAATATGAATATAACTCATGGAGACAATTTTTAAAGATCCAAATTTCTATTAAAACATGCTAGTAAGCCAGGCACTGTGGCTCATGCCTGTAATCCCAGAACTTCAGGAGGATCACTTAAGGCCAGGAGCCTGAGGCCAGCCTGGCTGGGTGACATAGCAATACTCCCATCTCTACAAAATAATTTTTTAATGCATAAAACCAAAGCTTTTAAGGCAAAATATTTAGCTATTAGCAAACGTACTCTTGCCCTTAATTATAACTCCTTGCCAAAGAAACTGTTTGCATTTCGCAAGCGTTTTAACTACAGAAGACAAGGCATTTCACACAAAGAAACCAGGCTAGGGCAATGTGCTTTCCTGTCACTTCACCTAAAAACTTCTTGATTTGGGTCAACCCTGAGGCTCATGACAAGTAGAGTCCCTACACACATATTCGTGTTACCTCCCATGCTCAAAGACTGGCTGGCTACCATCATCAGCGAACAGTTCAATGTGCAAACCTTTAATCTTCCAGTAGCGGACCCAGAACATACACAGTCCCACTTACTTTCTCCATTTTTTTTATGCTTGAGCAACTCCCCACTGAAGGCAAGAAACAACGCAAAGGTTATCACTAAAAGTCTTGCAAAAATTATCTCCACCCTTGGATTTGTCATACTTACTATGGGGGGACCATCAATAGGAACTTTGCACACAGCGGCTCCGGCAGGACAGGGCACTCCGTGCATGGGATTTAGTGGCTGACAAATATTGATGTAGAAATCAGGGTTGGTATCGGAGGCATCATCCTCACTCTCATCATAAGCCTCATAACCACCAGTGCGATGAATAAGGGGAGACAAGTCAACAATAGAGCTTCCATTCCTCACGGAACATTCGGTCTGTTAAGTAGGAAAGACTGCTTTGAGTCTACAAAAAAATTTTCCTAATCACCACTAGGTCATCCATAAGAATTTAAAAGCTGAATAACAACAACAAAAAAAGTAGAAAGGTGTCAAAATGCTTCATTACATAGCACTGGGCACTTCCAGTCAACTTTATTATTGGGGTGATCAGGAGTGGACAGTTCAGCTGGGCATCTACTAGTGGGCAAGTGAACCTGACGAAGGGGCCCGGGTGCAGCCAGGCACTGGACATGCACTTCTCCCGTGCCCATCTGAAAACTCACCGCTTGCTCGCAGGCCAGCGGCGTGTGCCAGGAGAAGAAGAGAGTGCATGTCTGCTTGTCCAGGGAGATGAGCATGGGCCTATTGGTTGGCCTGGCCTCAGGCCTGCACACGAAACTGATCACACTCTTATAGCTCAGGCCGGATTTGGAGGGACAAGGGGACCCATCCTTGTACACCAGCTGCAGGACCTGGTCCACGTATCTCAGCCTCTTGTTGGCCTTGCCCACGCTAATCCTGGTCTGTCCAAAGCAGGCCCCTGCACCACAAGGGAAAGGCGGAGAAAACACAATCACAGACTCGATGGCCAATTTTCTGATGAGAACTTTCGCAAGTCAGGACCATCAATTTCATAGCCAACACTTATAACTTCAAGTGTCCAATCCGGCTTTAACCATTGTTTTACATTGAATGTTCATTCCATCACATGACCATGTGTCCCCCACATGGGGTGACTGCTGCAGGAGACAAAAGCGTCTCAGCTTCCTGGCTCTGCTCATCCTTTTTGCCATTAGCATGCAAAGAGACTGAGGACAACCCCAGAGGACGGGAGAGTCAGACAACACACGAGAGACCACAGCACTCACCCACGCCAGGAGGGCAGTTTTCATTCTCCCCACAGATGCTCATGTAAACCAACCCCTTCTCGCTGTAAGCAGCTGTGAATCCCGCCCTGCCACTTAAGGAGCTCAGATCAAACAGGTGTCCTGTAGGGTGGAAGAAGATGGGGACACAGTGACTCCAGGGAGCTGAGACTTGGGAGGCTCATCATCGGCGAGCTCACACACAGATTATGTCAGCATCGGGACTTCTGACTTCTCACCACGACCCCTGTCCTAAATCCTCCACCAACAGCCAGGCTGTATCATGAGACTGTCAGTCCCTTGATCCATGAGATGTCCCATCCTTAGCTGAAAAGATCGTGGCTCACAGCACCCTCTGCTGGGCCATACCACAGCAGCCACTAAGAGTCTGGTGGGCATGGGGAGAGCCTGCCCAGCACACCTCTTGCTGCCAATGGACTGTGCCTGTGCCTTTCTGGGTGCCCAGCACAAGGGCAGGTGAGAGACTCCTGGCAATCCACTACACTGATGCTGAAAGGCAGCCAGGGGCTAGCTCTAACCTGCCCTGGAGAGCCTAGAGCTGCTGGACTGACACTGTCAGTAACCCCAGTCAGGAGCACCTCTCACACCAGGAGAGTGACAGGAGGGATGGATTCTCTGTGGGAGCATTCTCTCCTCCACTGAAGGAGAGCCAGGAGAACACACAGCAGCCCATCCAGAGAAAGGCCAAACACACCCACACACCATGACACCTCTGCCCAGGGCGCCTGCTGCCCATAGCTTCTCTTTGGGTCTCTCCCCTGATGAGCTGGGTTTGGTGGGGGCACCGTCTCTCACCTGCGCTGGGGTTAACGACTGGCACCACCTCTCACCTGTGCTTGGGTTGGTGACCTGGCAGTCATCATGCTCGTTGCTCTTCATGGGACAGGCTGTGGCTGTGGGCCAGGCAAAGGTGTACTCACAGTCCTCCACGGCGCTGATGAACATGGGCCTGGAGTTCTACAACAAAGCACAGACAGGTCCTGAAGGGATCACGCAAAAACTCCATGTCTATCATGATTTCAACTTACAAGTGGAAGCTTCTCTGAAAAACTCCACAGCATGTGACATTTCTGTCTCCATGTGCCTGTGGGATGAGGCGCAGATTAGGAAAAGCAAAGGGTCAGAATGTGTCCTGAGCTGCCACCATGGGCTTCCCCTGCAGGTAAGTGAAACACCCACAGGCAGCAACACACTTAGGGGACCAGGAAGCTCCCTCAGGCTGAGGAACAGGACAGGGGTTGGGGACAGGCGTGCAAAGGATGCTGGAAGGGCTACAGGGAGACACAAATGTGTAAATCATTGATAAAATTCTAAAAACCAAATGAGGTAAAATCCATTATCACAGTCAAAACAAAAAGATATACCAAGAGAACTAGCCCATTCCACGCATCCTCCCACTGGCACCAGCCAAGGCTTACTCTGCTCATCTCAAAACGCTTCATGTCCACTGCAGAGTTAGCATGATGAGTTCAGCAGCACCTTCCTTCCCAGGTAAACCCCATGATTCCTGCTGGGCACCCTGATAAGCCACGCTGCAGTCCAGCCTCCCAGGCCCTGGGCACAGGGGCCTCGACACACCCCCACCCTTCCCTCCCAGCCTCCTGGGCCCTGGGCACAGGGGCCTCGACACACCCCCACCCTTCCCTCCCAGCCTCCTGGGTCTGGGGCACAGGGCCTCCACACACCCTTCACCTTTCCCTCCCAGCCTCCTGGGTCTGGGGCACAGAGGCCCCCACACACCACCCTCATCCTTCCCTCCCAGCCTCCTGGGCTCTGGACATGGGGAACCCCACACACCCCTTCACCCTTCCCTCCCAGCCTTCTGGGCCCTGGGCACAGGGGCCCCACACACCCTCTCACCTTTGCCCCCCACATGTGGGGCAGCCCTTTTGTCCTCGGCCATGAGCCTCTCAGGTCACAGAGGAGAATGCTCAGAGGCCCCAGCAGCTCATGAGTCTGGACTAAGCCTCTGCACAATCTTCCCAAGAGGAAACTTCCCTGCCGCTCCAGGCAAGAGGGCAGGCCTGAAGCTCCTGGAGCCCCCCATCCCAAGCTCCCCTACCACTGCTGCCCACC